>NC_000017.11:3672929-3824444 GCF_000001405.40 Homo sapiens
CAGTACTTTGGGAGGCTGAGGTGGGCGGATCACAAGGTCAGGAGTTCAAGACCAGCCTGACCAACATGGTGAAACCCCGTCTCTACTAAAAATACAAAAAAAATTAGCCGTGCATGGTGGTGCACGCCTGTAATCCCCGCTACTCAGGAGGCTGAGGCAGAAGAATCACTTGAGCCTGGGAGGCAGAAGCTGCAATGAGCCGAGGTCGTGCCACTGCACTCCAGCCTGGGCTACAGAGCGAGACTCCATCTCAAAAAAAAAGATGGGTAAACATGAAGAGAAAAAAATCAGGACACGTTTGAAATTGACACCATTTATTGTTTTATGACCAAATAAGAGTGTCAGAGAATACATATCTTGGGCAGGTCCCAGAAAGCGTCTGCCATCTCCCCCACTTTAATTCTGTGTACTGGCCTAAGGGCAAACAGCTGGCAGGAAGGTGGTGTCTTTAGGAGAGAGAGTACTTGGATCCACTGGAGAGTATGCTCTGAGGGAAGCTGCGGCACTTGCAGAGGGGAGTGGGCTGGAACCAAATGGAGCCCTTTTCCGGACACGCACAATGCTATTCCCAGTGAGGTAATCTAGGAACTCTACAGGGCACTGCGGTCCTTAGCTGAGGTGCTCAAGGACTCCGGAAGGAAGTCATGTTCCCCATTTACAACCCGTTCCCTAGTGCGGGAAGCCAGCCACGGAGAAAGGAAGAACTGACGGCAGGGGGTGGGGCAAAAAGACAGCCATGATGGGTCCGTCCTGATGACCCCAGCATCAGACGTGGAGGTCACTTTGCTCTGTGATGGCTGGTCCCTGTGATGTGGCATTGATAGCACCCAATGTACAAATTTCCCGTTGGGCAGCATCCTGGGATTCCCAAAGGCATGGGATCACTGGGTGCTAGACGGCTGGGTTTAGGACAGGGCCTGAACGTAAGCAGAGGCAATTCACGTGCTCCTGGAATATCAGAACAGAAAGGAGCTCTTGAGAGGCTGGCACTCTCATCTTCCCAGTGAGGCAACCAGTGCCCAGGGAGAAGGGCCTTCCCAAGTCTGAAAAGAGCTACAGTTCATGCTTCACTTCTCCCCATTTAAAAGCCAGTTTCCGGCCAGGCGCGGTGGCTCATGCCCATGCCTGTAATCGCAGCACTTTGGGAGGCCGAGGTGGGCGGATCACGAGGTCAGGAGATCGAGACCATCCTGATTAACACAGTGAAACCCCGTCTCTACTAAAAATACAAAAAATTAGCCGGGCGAGGCGAGCGCCTGTAGTCCCAGCTACTCGGGAGGCTCAGGCAGGGGAATGGCGTGAACCCGGGAGGCGGAGCTTGCAGTGAGCCGAGATCGCGCCACGGCACTCCCATCCAGCCTGGGCGATAAAGCGAGACTCCGTCTCAAAAAATTAAAAAAAAAAAATACAAAAAAAAAAGCCAGTTTCCATCAGAGTAATGAGCTCCCACTCTTGCACCAAGATTATGCAGAAAAATGGTGGGAGCTGGGGGCTGTGCAAAAAGCAAGGAAACTGGAAGAGTGTGACACTGTCTGGAAGCTGTCAGGCGATCCCTGGCTCTTCTGAGCACGGGGCCCCTGATGGGCAGTCAAGAGGTCACTGGAAGGCTTGGCCGGCCTTGAAGAAACAATGAGGTTAAATCCTCTAAGGAAGCAAAGTCTAAAGGGGCAACCTTGCAGCTAAAGACCGTCAACTTCATTAAACAAAAGCCTCACCAAACCTGGCTCCTGTCTGCCGCCTTCACCCAGGTTCTCCGTTGCTCCTTCCCATATCAAAGCGTCTCTTCACACCTGTGCTTCTCTTACCTGGAATGCTTCCCCCTCACCTAGTTAGGCTGCTATAACCTTTCAGATTTCAACTCATAGGTCACTTCCTTGGGGAAACCTTCTCTGGCTACTACTCGCTGACCTCTCCGACACCCCATTCCGTCTGTGATGACGGGTGTGATCATTTGGTAAGGGTTCAATGCCCCATTAGACTGGAAACCCTCGGGGGCAGGGATCGTGTCTGTGTTGCTCATCTCTGTCTCAGCAGCATCTGGTCCAACACCTGACATGTCACAGGGACTCCATAAATATTTCCTGGCTGAAGGAATGACTAACTGTAGGAAGACATTTTCCTTTTTCTAGAGACGGAGTCTCGCTCCGTCGCCCAGGCTGGAGTGCAGTGGCACGATCTTGGATCACTGCAACCTCCGTCTCCCGGGTTCAAGCAATTCTCCTGCCTCAGCCTCCTGAGTAGCTGGGACTACAAGTGCACGCCGCCACGCCCAGCTATTTTTTTGTATTTTAGTAGAGACAGGGTTTCACCATGTTGCCCAGGCTGTTCTCAAACTCCTGAACTCAGGCAATCTGCCCGCCTCGGCCTCCCAAAGTGCTAGGATTACAGGCGTGAGCCACCGTGCCCGGCTAGGAAGACATTTTTGTTGCAATATGAAACAAATAGTATGACTATCCTCAGGTTCTGTGGCTTCTGCCAGCCATTTCGAAGTCTGGTTAAAATCAGCAGCCATGACCCCTGCCTTTTTTGCTTCCTCCCAAACCTAAAAGTCACCAAGTTATAAAAATGCAAGGCTTTGCGTCAGTGAAGAAGTGACACACCTAAGTGGATCACCTGGATCTTCACTTTCTTTTTTTTTTTTTGAGACTGAGTCTCACTGTCGCCCAGGCCAGAGTGCAGTGGTATGATCTCAGCTCACTGCAACCTCTGCCTCCCAGGTTCAAGCGATTCTCCTGCCTCCGCCTCCCGAGTAGCTGGGACTACAGGCATGTGGACACCATGCCCGGCTAATTTTTGTATTTTTAGTAGAGATGGGGTTTTGCCATATTGGCCAGGCTGGTCTCGAACTCCTGACCTCGTGATCCACCCGCCTCGGCCTCCCAAAGTGCTGGGATTACAGGTGTGAGCCACTGCGCCCAGCCTGGATCTTTACTTTCTAATCAGAGAGCAGTATAGGCTTGTTGCAGGTTCCCTTCCCAGAAAACCCAAAGCGAGGAAGTTGCTTTGCTCTAGGAGGGTTCCTGTTCTGGAGACCATGTCCCTGGGCCCCTGACATCCCTCTCCAAAGCCTCAGTGGAGGGATGCTCTCACCACCCCCGCCTTTCTGTGTGCAGAGAGAACCCCTCCAAAGAGGATGCTTCCAGGGAGCCGCCCAGACAGCACTGGGACTGGTTGAGTGAGGGCGGCGCTGGAGCACTTTTCTGCCAGGTGGCTCGGGCAATGGCGAGGGCTGAGCTCCAGGTTTCTCACCTTGGGTTTACGGGGAGACAACTCACATACAACGGGGTAGGAGAAGAGAGCTAGTCAGCTCCCAAGCCCAACATCGAAACGTACTTCATGTCCATTTTTGACAGGGGAGACTGGGTCTTAAGCGCCAGCGTCAGGAGAAGTTCATTACCTGAGTGAATGTGTAAGAAACCACACGAGTTTTCGGCAAAATCAGGGAGCCTCCTGCATTAGTAACACTGGCTGCCTCTGGGGAACCGGGAGGACGGAGGTTGCTTTTCACTGACTATCCTTTGCACCTTCTAAACTTTGAATCATGTAAGTATTACCCAGTCAAAATATTGTAACTTAAATCAGCTGAGCATACTGCTGCTTTCAGGGTGGGGGAGGAAGCCTCTTGGTCTCTAGGCAGCATGCGTGTAAGTCTGACCTAGAAATTGGCTCCATCCACCAAAGCTGGCCTTTTTCCCCTGAGAACCAGGGCTTCTTAAATGTCACTGTGCACACAGATCACCTTGGAATCTTGTTGAAACACAGGTTCTGATTTGGGTGGGGGGCGGGGGAGCTGGGACCTGCATTTCTAGCAGGCTCCGGTCCCTGGACCCCACTTTAAATAGCAAGGCTTGGCCGGGTTTGGTGGCTCACGCATGTAATCCCAGCACTTTGGGAGGCCAAGGCTGGCGGATCACCTGAAGTCAGGAGTTGGAGACCAGCCTGGCCAACATGGTGAAACCCCATCTCTGCTAAAACTACAAAAATTAGCCGGGCATGGTGGTGGGCACCTGTAATCCCAGCTACTTAGGAGGCTGAGACAGGAGAATCGATTGAACCTGGGAGGCGGAGGTTCCAGTAAGCCAAGATCACGCCACTGCACTCCAGCCTGGGTGACAGAGCGAGACTCTATTTCAAAAAAATAAATAAATAAAAAGCAAGGCCCTACAGCGATGGAGGCAGAGAGCAGCTGAGGGTGCGGTAGGTGGGTGTGGCCGTGGCATAAGACAGGTGGGGACGGAGGGAGGGGAATGAGGGCCTCCCTAACTCAGCCCGTTTACACCTGCTGAGTGGCGCCATCCTTGATCTCATTAGCACTTCAGGCCCAGCCTCTGAGGAGGGGTGGGGAGGGCAGGAGCTCGGCAGGGTCAAGGCGACTGTATCTCCCATCTGGGCAGGTCCATATTCCCCGGGCGTCCCGAGGCTGGTGGAGTCAGATGGAGCAGAGGCCTCTTGCCTCCCCTTCCCCATCTTACCTAGACTCCCCAGGAGCTGGCTTCCCCACTAAGAGCCAGCTGCCTCCTGACTGCTCCAGTCCTTTCCTGGTTGCCTCCATGGCCACCTTTAAATTTTATCCTTGGGGCAAGCCCAAATGTCCCCTTGGGTGTTGTCCAAGAGCTTTCTCTGAGCAACCATCATTCTCGGCAGGGATTTCGGAAACCCTGCTAGAGGCTAGAGGAAGGCCAGCTGGAGTGGCTGGGCCTGGCTGTGATGTCTCTGTTGGCTTTGGAGGAATTACACGCGGGCCCCTCTCCCTGAGGTTAGGTCAGCATCTCATTTAAGCACCTCTTGGTGGGCCCAGCACACAGCATGCGTCAATACATGTTTACAGCTCATATGAATGAGTGAAGGTGCAGCCAGGTTGAGGGAAAATCCAAACACTCCACTTCCGCTCAGCACCCTGGCCTGTCCCTTTCCCTGGACACCTGCTCCAGGGACTCCTCTTCTAGGTCCGAGCCCCTCTGACCATTGGGAGGCTCCCCTCCTCACTCAGCAAAAAGCTTGCAGCAAGATCCCAAAGTTCAGGAGAGATGGCTGTGCCTGGAAGCCCCTGTCTCATGCAGGCACAGACTCCTCTACCCAGTTCAGAGCTGCGGGTTGTTCTGGCCCCAAAGTTTTCAGCGACACTGCTGGTAGCCAGCAGCCCTGGCTACATCTCCACTGTCTGCAGCTGCTCCAAATTCACCTGTGCATTCTGCAAATGGCCAGACCTGTGTGTGGGCGGGAGGGGGCGCACAGGGCAGAGAGGACTGTCGGGAGCCGGTGGGTGGGCCAGCCTCACCAGAGGCAGCAACGCTCCTGGCAGCACTGCAGGCAGGCAGAGCATTCAGAGAGAGCACAGCCTGCCAGGGTTCCTGCGGAAGCCCAGCACGCATAGATGCTCAGGCAGAAGCCTCTGGAGTTGCCCCGGCAAGGAGTAGCAGCAATTGCGGTGGCAGCTGGAGCGTGGGCCTGTGAGTCCACAGCCTCCCACAAGCCTCAGCGAGGCTCAGCCAAGACAAGCCAGGCCGTCGGGCTTCCCGCTTGCTCAGAATGGGAGCTCAAGTGAGCACCCAGGAAGTAAGAGTCAGCTCAGGGAGCACAGGAGGGCTGCCAGGCTCTGGGTCTACCCCATACGGACCCCTAGCCTCCAGCCTCCTTGCCCCACTGCTGCAGCCCCTGCCTCTCTCTCTCCTCACTCTTCTCCAGCCCAGTCTATTTCTTGCTCCTTCCCTGCCCAGGCCCAGCTCCCAGCTGAACGCTGCCAATTCCTGAGTCAGCAAGGAATGAAAGCTGGGCCAGGAGAAAGGCCACCAAGGTCAGTGAGTACCTGGGGTGTGGTTTGCAAGAGAGTCACAGAACCCCAGTCTGACAGCAGGAGGTGTCCAGCCCCCACTGGGAGGGGAAAAAAGGGAAAACAAGGCACAGAAAGGGCCAGGCACCTGCTCACCGCACAGGTACTCTGCAAGGCAGACGCAGAGCAGGCCCGAGACAGGTCCCCCACCCAGCCAGACGCCCTCCCCACGCAGGCTGAGCCTCGTCTGCAGAGAAGCCAGCGCCCCCAGGAATCGCGGCCCAAGGACCCCCCTGGCAGCACGGCCAGCACCCTCCTGAGGCCGGGGCAGCCCCAGAATCGCACACAGAAGAGGGGCTGAGGGGGGGTCATCTGAGCACAGAGACGTTCGGCAAAGGCAGAGTAACTCAGGAGAACCTCATCCTACAGACACTGCCGGGATTCAAATCTCAGCGCTGCCATTCACCGGCTGTGTGACTTGAGCAAATTACCGAGCCTTTCTGTGCCTCAGCTTCCTCATTTGTAAAATGGGGAAGATCGGTGTCTATCTGATTCAGTTGCTTACATGAGTTAACAAATACGGAGAGTACAGAGGGGTTCCAGGCAGAGAGTCAGTGCTGTGGAGCAGCGCGCTGTTATCATCTGAGCGCCGGCATGGCACAGCAGGCACCCATGGCCATCCAGGGTCTCGGGAGCTAAGGGGGACCTTGCGGGGTAAAGCACCAGCCCCTTCCCACAGAGGCTCTCCCAGTTCCTAGATGTCCTGCCTTGTGGCCAGCTCACACCAGAGCAGAGGGGTCCGCTGGAGCTGCCAGGCATGAGAAGCCCCAACTGGGGACCCCTCTCTGCAGGACCCAGCTGTCGGGCTCTCTGCCTAGCAGTGGCCTCACCTGTGGGGCTCCAGGAGCTGTGGGCACACAGATCCGTTCCCCTTCTGACTGCTGCTTCCACGCTTCGCCTCGGGTGGCTCCTGCAGCTCCTGCTGCTCCGGCATCCCCAGCAGCCCTGGCCCAGATGTGAGCTGCTCAGATAGCCCCAGCCCCGATGCCTCGTCCTCGGCCTCCTGGGAACTGTCTTCTAGGCCCCTGGACAAGATACAAGCTGTTCACCTGGGACGGCCCTGCAGGGTGCCTCCCCTCCTAGACGGGCGGAGTGGGCCTTGAAGAATCCCTCGCCCTGCAGGCCGCCACCCTGCTTCCTCCAGCCGGTGTCCTCCACCCTGCTTCCTCCATGCGGCTCCCTCCACCCTGCATCCTCCACCCTGCTCTCTCCACCCTGAGTCCTCCACCCTGCTTCCTCCACGTGGCGTCCTCCACCCTGAGTCCTCCACCCAGCTCCCTCCACCCTACATCCTCCACCCTGCATCCTCCACCTGGCTTCCTCCATCCTACGTCCTCCACCCAGCGTCCTCCACCCTGCATCCTCCACCCTGCATCCTCCACCCTGAGTCCTCCATCCGGTGTCCTCCACCCTGCATCCTCCACCCTGCGTCCTCCACCCTGCATCCTCCACCCTGCATCCTCCACCCTGCGTCCTCCACCCAGCGTCCTCCACCCTGCATCCTCCACCCAGTGTCCTCCACCCTGCATCCTCCACCCAGTGTCCTCCACCCTGCATCCTCCACCCTGCATCCTCCACCCTGCGTCCTCCACCCAGTGTCCTCCACCCTGCGTCCTCCACCCTGCATCCTCCACCCTGCATCCTCCACCCAGCGTCCTCCACCCTGCATCCTCCACCCTGCATCCTCCACCCTGAGTCCTCCACCCAGTGTCCTCCACCCTGCATCCTCCACCCAGTGTCCTCCACCCTGCATCCTCCACCCTGCGTCCTCCACCCAGCGTCCTCCACCCGGCGTCCTCCACCCTGCTTCCTCCACCCGGCTTCCTCTACCCTGCTTCCTCCATCCTGGGTCCTCCACCCTGCAGGCCACCACCCTGCTTCCTCCATCCTGGGTCCTCCACCCTGCAGGCCACCACCCTGCTTCCTCCATCCTGGGTCCTCCACCCTGCATCCTCCACCCTGCATCCTCCACCCTGCGTCCTCCACCCAGCGTCCTCCACCCTGCATCCTCCACCCAGTGTCCTCCACCCTGCATCCTCCACCCTGCATCCTCCACCCTGCATCCTCCACCCAGCGTCCTCCACCCTGCATCCTCCACCCTGAGTCCTCCACCCAGTGTCCTCCACCCTGCATCCTCCACCCAGCGTCCTCCACCCTGCATCCTCCACCCTGCATCCTCCACCCTGCGTCCTCCACCCAGCGTCCTCCACCCTGCATCCTCCACCCAGTGTCCTCCACCCTGCATCCTCCACCCTGCATCCTCCACCCTGCGTCCTCCACCCAGCGTCCTCCACCCTGCATCCTCCACCCAGCGTCCTCCACCCGGCTTCCTCTACCCTGCTTCCTTCAGCAGCACAGTCAGGACTGTGGTTGGGGTTCAGCCTGTGGCCAGGGTCAGGGCGCACGGCTATAACCCAGGGCTGGGGTTCAGGCCATAGCTGGAGTGCAGTAAGGCGAATGACCCAGGCAGACCCTGCACCCACTGTCCCAGGCTGTGGGGGTGCTGAGGGAGTACTAAGGTGTCTGTCCCAATTCCCATTCTGATCCCTGCTTCTCCAGAAGGCCTTCCCCAAAGGCCGAAGCCACAGCCCCTTCCCCTTCCCGCCCTCCCACAGTCATCAGGGTTCCCCACCCACGCTGTGCTCTGCCGCTGTGAACACGCACACCCCACCGAACCCAGGGCCCAGGAAACTCCGGAAACAGCCTCTGCATGGAAGAAAATATCCGCTTTTCTTTCCTTTACTACTCCAGCTTCCCTCAGCCCCGGCGCACCAGGACCACCAAGTCCAAGAATCCCAAAACAGAAGTGCTGCAGACACCACTCGATTGGTAAACCAACTCTCTCATCTCCCAGATAGAGAAACCGAGGCCCGGGGAGGCCTGGGACTTGTCCAGAATCAGGCGGAGCCTGTGAACTCCGTCTCCCGCCCTGTGGCCCACAGCGCCCTCTCCTCCCACTGCTGCCGAGGCCGAATCCGGTTCTGTAGAGCATGTACTCAGAACACTTCTCCTCCCCGGGCCCTCCAGCCCCTGCCTCCCACCCCAGCCATCAATATCACATCAGGGCAAAGGCTCGAAGCCACGGGGGTGCTCCACAGGGCTGCCCTCGGGCCGCCGGCCTGGAAGCGGAACTGACCTCACTTCCTCGTACTTCTTGTCACGGTAAAACTCTCTCTTTTTGATGAGGTAGATGAGTACCAGGTCGCAGAAGAAAGCACCCTGCAAAACAGGGGTTCCTGATTCAGAATCCTAGACCTCTGAGAGCACTGTTCATTTAGGGCACTTTGCCCCTTCCATCCTGCAACAGCCCCTAAAGGTGGCATCACTGTCCCCATTTAACAGATGAGGAAACTGGGCTCAGCAAGGGGCACCCTTGTCCGACACCACAGAGCTGGTCCATGGTGGAGCTCAAGCTGGACTGGAGCTCCCCCGATCCCACAGGCCAGGCACTCCCCGACCCCGCACCACCCGGACCCCATCCAATCGTTCCTTCAACACATTTGCTGGGCACCCAGCACGTGCCAGTGTCTGCACCGAAGTACGGAGAGGATCTGGACAAGAGAGACCTCCTGGGGACTCTCCCTCTGGTGCAGGAGACAGGCGTGTCGATGACGACCCACATAGGACTTCACTCAGCCTGGGGAGGGTCCCTATTCAGTCCTTAAGGACTAAAGAGGAGTTTATACAAGACAAAGAGGTGGAAGGACATTACGGAGGGAGGAACAAGCCTGTCACATCTGGGAAATGCCGCAGGGCCTGTGCGGGAAGAGGGAGATGCGCTTCTGGAGAAGGGGATGGGGACTGGCCTGTTAGGCTTCTTAGAATGTTTCCGAGGCATTGGTCCTCATCCTTTAGGTGAGGCGGAGGCACCACAGCCCGAATTTTGGCATTTAGAAAGATCCCTGTGGTAGTCAGTGTGAGATAGGTTGGAAGGGTTCTAACCAACAAGGACGCTATGGTGCTAGTCAAAGAAAGATGATGGGTGCCAGGTGCAGTGGCTCACGCCTGTAATCCCAGCACTTTGGGAAGCCGAGTCAGGCGGATCACCTGAGGCCAGGAGTTCGAGACCAGCCTGGCCAACATGGTGAAACCCTGTCTCTACTAAAAAATACAAAAATTAGCTGGGCGTGGTGGCGGGTGTCTGTAATCCCAGCTACTCAGGACGCTGAGGCAGGAAAATCGCCTGAACTCGGGAGGTGGAGGTTGCAGTGAGCCAAGATCGCACCACTGCACTCCAGCCTGGGCAACAAGAGCAAAACTCCATCTCAAAAGAGACAAAAACAAAAGCAAAAACAAACAAAAAAGGAAGATGATGAGGTGGACGACCCCAGCTCAGCCCCTCACACCCAAAACGTGCCCTACGGACCAGAGCGATGCAATTGCCCCTCTCCTCCAGCAGAGGGAGACTCCACCCACAGCACAGGGCAGGGTTGGGGCCTGAATGATAGAGGAGAGTGGAGGTGGGAAGGGTTGGTGGAGGGGCCAACAAGGAATCTTGGTCCCCTGACCCTGGGTGCTGCACATCCATCCCCTAGATGCCAAAAATGTTGCTTACCAATTCGCTGCTCCCCAGAGACCAACCCCAAACCTAACCTTGACCACCACCTCTTCCTGCGCCATTACTTCCAGTTCACAGGTCTGTCCCCAGAGGGTGCTCTGATTTTACCCACATCACAAGAAAGTGATGAATGGGCTGGGCGCAGTGGCTCACGCCTGTGATCCCAGCACTGGGAGGCCGAGGTGGGCGGATCACCTGAGGTCAGGAGTTGGAGACCAGCCTGGCCAACATGGTGAAACCCTGTCTCTACAAAAATACGAAAATTAACCGGGCGCGGTGGCGCACGCCTGTAATCCCAGCTACTCAGGAGGCTGAGGCAGAAGAATTGCTTGAGCCTGGGAGGCAGAGGCTGCAGTGAGCCAAGATCATGCCATTGCACTCCAGCCTGGGCGACAGAGTGAGACTCCGTCTCAAAAAAAAAAAAAAAAAAAGAAAAGTGATAGCTGAAGGTGGGCCTTCTGTAAGAAAGTAACAGGCGCAAACATCCAGGACCCTCCCAGTGACTGTCTGCAGGTAGGGATCCATGTGGAGCTCACTTTTCTTGACCCCCTCCCAGGAACGTGGTCCTGGTATGGGACACAATTTTCCAGGTTTTAACAAAAGTCACCCCTGGGTCCCAATGGACTCCTCCAGTGGGGCTGTCTTGTGTGCACAGGGAGAGGAATGAGGGAAGAGGCTGCCAGAAACCTGGGAAAGGGACCTGCCGGGATGGGCACTGACCACTCCCATGGCTCTCAAAAACTCCAGAAGGACCACGGGGCAGTGTAGACTCAGGACGCCTTTCCCTGCCCTCAGTCCCTGTGTCTCCTCCCCTGTGAGCCGCTCCCGGCCCCACTGAAGGGCCACCTCTAAGGAAGAGTCACAGGGCTGCCTTCCCTGCCTCTCAGCCTTTCAGTCGGGTGGTTCTCAGCCAGCTGGGATTTTGCTCCATCACAACTGCAGGGGAGGGTGCCCCTAACATCTAGTGGGTAGAAACCGGGAATGCTCTTAAACATCCTACAATGGGCTGGGCGCGGTGGCTCACGCCCATAATCCCAGCACTTGGGGAGGCCAATGCCGGAGGATTGCCTGAGCCCAGGGGTTCAAGATCAGCCTGGCCAACATAGTGAGACCCCATTTCTACAAAAAATTTAAAAATTAGCCACAGGTGGTGGTGCACCTGCAGCCCTGGCTAGTGGGGAGGCTGAGGTGGGAGGATCGCTTGAGCCCAGGAGTTCAAGACTGCAGTGAGCCATGATCATGCCACTGCACTCCAGCCTGGGCAACAGAGCAAAAACCCTGTCTCTGAAATCAACATCCTCAGGGTCTGGGAAAATATAGTATCGACCAGAAAAGTGTGAAATATGAAATAGAAAACAAACAAAAACCTCCTACGACACCCAGCACAGCCCTCTGTGCATTGTGGAATGTTTAAGGGCATGTCCAAGGATGTGTGTAAGACCACAACACAGAATTCTCCCACCCAAAAAGTCAGCAGCACCCAGGCTAAGAAACTGTCTGCAGCCTAATCCTGCCCCCTTTTTTTTTTTTTTTTTTTTTTTTTTGGAGATGGAGTTTTGCTCTTGTTGTCCAGGCTGGGGTGCAGTTGTGTGATCTGGGCTCACCGCAACCTCCTCCTCCCGGGTTCAAGCGATTCTCCTGCCTCAGCCTCCTGAGCAGCTGGGATTACAAGCATGTGCCACCACACCTGGCTAATTTTTGTATTTTTAGTAGAGGCAGGGTTTCTCCATGTTGGTCAGGCTGGTCTCGAACTCACAACCTCAGGTGATCCGCCACCTCACCCTCCCAAAGCACTGGGATTACAGGTGTGAGTCACTGCGCCCGGCCTAATCCTGCCCTCTTTTAGCAGAAGTAGAGATAGAGACTTTAGAAGTTCAGGGACTCACCTGGGATCCCAGGGATATCCCAGCCACGCCTCGGCTGGGGACTGACCTAAACCCATGCACAGCTGCAGAGCTACCAGCACATGCCTCCCTGGCTCTGGAAAGAGACTCGGGCTGTCACTGCTACCTGAGGACAGCTGGCAGAGCGTGAAATCCCAGAAAGCCCTCTTTTCCCACGCCTATTCTGATCTTGCCAGCTCTGGTTCTTTCTGGGGGCACTGGGACACGGTCCTCCTGAACAGCAGCCTCCCCCTCCCTGCCAGTGCGGCCGCCGGGGAGAGGGTGGGACGCGGGGAGGGAGGGGAGGTACTCCCAGCACCCATGAGCGCCACCCCAGAGCCCACGTTGATGATGGTGGGAATGATGCTGAACTTCCCTGCCTGGAAGATAGAGACAAGGCCAGTGAGCGAGGCAGGTTGGACAGCGGGGCCCCCAGGGACCCTCCCAGCGTCCCCCTCCCAGCCTGAGAACAGGAGAACGCACAGCGGGGCCCCCAGGGACCCTCCCAACGTCCCCCTCCCAGCCTGAGAACAGGAGAACGCACAGCGGGGCCCCCAGGGACCCTCCCAACGTCCCCCGCCCCCCGCCCAGCCTGAGAACAGGAGAACACACAGCGGGGCCCCCAGGGACCCTCCCAACGTCCCCCGCCCCCCCGCCCAGCCTCAGAACAGGAGAACGCACAGCGGGGCCCCCAGGGACCCTCCCAACGTCCCCCGCCCCCCGCCCAGCCTGAGAACAGGAGAACACACAGCGGGGCCCCCAGGGACCCTCCCAACGTCCCCCTCCCAGCCTGAGAACAGGAGAACGCACAGCGGGGCCCCCAGGGACCCTCCCAACGTCCCCCGCCCCCCGCCCAGCCTCAGAACAGGAGAACGCACAGCGGGGCCCCCAGGGACCCTCCCAACGTCCCCCGCCCCCCGCCCAGCCTCAGAACAGGAGAACGCACAGCGGGGCCCCCAGGGACCCTCCCAACGTCCCCCTCCCAGCCTGAGAACAGGAGAACGCACAGCGGGGCCCCCAGGGACCCTCCCAACGTCCCCCGCCCCCCGCCCAGCCTCAGAACAGGAGAACACACAGCGGGGCCCCCAGGGACCCTCCCAACGTCCCCCTCCCAGCCTGAGAACAGGAGAACGCACAGCGGGGCCCCCAGGGACCCTCCCAACGTCCCCCGCCCCCCGCCCAGCCTCAGAACAGGAGAACGCACAGCGGGGCCCCCAGGGACCCTCCCAACGTCCCCCGCCCCCCGCCCAGCCTCAGAACAGGAGAACGCACAGCGGGGCCCCCAGGGACCCTCCCAACGTCCCCCGCCCCCCGCCCAGCCTCAGAACAGGAGAACGCACAGCGGGGCCCCCAGGGACCCTCCCAACGTCCCCCGCCCCCCGCCCAGCCTCAGAACAGGAGAACACACAGCGGGGCCCCCAGGGACCCTCCCAACGTCCCCCGCCCCCCGCCCAGCCTCAGAACAGGAGAACGCACAGCTGGGCCCCCAGGGACCCTCCCAACGTCCCCCTCCCAGCCTGAGAACAGGAGAACACACAGCTGGGCCCCCAGGGACCCTCCCAACGTCCCCCGCCCCCCGCCCAGCCTCAGAACAGGAGAACGCACAGCGGGGCCCCCAGGGACCCTCCCAACGTCCCCCGCCCCCCGCCCAGCCTCAGAACAGGAGAACGCACAGCGGGGCCCCCAGGGACCCTCCCAACGTCCCCCGCCCCCCGCCCAGCCTCAGAACAGGAGAACACACAGCGGGGCCCCCAGGGACCCTCCCAACGTCCCCCGCCCCCCGCCCAGCCTCAGAACAGGAGAACGCACAGCTGGGCCCCCAGGGACCCTCCCAACGTCCCCCTCCCAGCCTGAGAACAGGAGAACACACAGCTGGGCCCCCAGGGACCCTCCCAACGTCCCCCGCCCCCCGCCCAGCCTCAGAACAGGAGAACACACAGCTGGGCCCCCAGGGACCCTCCCAACGTCCCCCTCCCAGCCTGAGAACAGGAGAACACACAGCTGGGCCCCCAGGGACCCTCCCAACGTCCCCCGCCCCCCGCCCAGCCTCAGAACAGGAGAACACACAGCGGGACCCCCAGGGACCCTCCCAACGTCCCCCGCCCCCCGCCCAGCCTCAGAACAGGAGAACGCACAGCGGGACCCCCAGGGACCCTCCCAACGTCCCCCTCCCAGCCTGAGAACAGGAGAACACACAGCTGGGCCCCCAGGGACCCTCCCAACGTCCCCCGCCCCCCGCCCAGCCTCAGAACAGGAGAACACACAGCTGGGCCCCCAGGGACCCTCCCAACGTCCCCCGCCCCCCGCCCAGCCTCAGAACAGGAGAACACACAGCTGGGCCCCCAGGGACCCTCCCAACGTCCCCCTCCCAGCCTGAGAACAGGAGAACACACAGCTGGGCCCCCAGGGACCCTCCCAACGTCCCCCGCCCCCCGCCCAGCCTCAGAACAGGAGAACACACAGCGGGACCCCCAGGGACCCTCCCAACGTCCCCCGCCCCCCGCCCAGCCTCAGAACAGGAGAACGCACAGCGGGACCCCCAGGGACCCTCCCAACGTCCCCCTCCCAGCCTGAGAACAGGAGAACACACAGCTGGGCCCCCAGGGACCCTCCCAACGTCCCCCGCCCCCCGCCCAGCCTCAGAACAGGAGAACACACAGCTGGGCCCCCAGGGACCCTCCCAACGTCCCCCGCCCCCCGCCCAGCCTCAGAACAGGAGAACACACAGCTGGGCCCCCAGGGACCCTCCCAACGTCCCCCTCCCAGCCCCCGCCCCCCGCCCAGCCTCAGAACAGGAGAAGGCACACGCACCTTGCCGTTCACCATCACGTCAAAGCGGATCCCGTAGGCTTTCATCAGGGTGCGGAACTCCACCCCGGCTGCGTCTCGGTAATATCTGGCAAATCTGAGGGAGACAGGGCCCAGGGGAGGCCTCAGCCTGCCTGGCCTTCCCTCTTTAGGCAGCACTGATGTGGCTGCTCTGGGGACTTAGAAGGACTCCCGGAACCCTGACTCTCAGCAGCCCCAGGAGTGGCTTGCAGACCTTCTCACTGAGCCAAAAACAAAGAGGCATCCAGCTATTTGAAATCCCTGCCAGACATTCCCTGAGGAGCAAGGGCTTCCCCACCCTACTCTGAGCAACCCTTGGGTCGCCAAAGCGCGGATGGAAAGGATGCGGCAGAGGCCGCAAGACTCGGCTTCACGGAGAGAAACAGGCAAGAACACGCGCTCTCCTCTCCCAGAGGCACCCCCAGCTTCAGTCGCTGGCCACTCTGCTGGGGTCCACACCTCTCCTGGGCCATCTGTCCCTGCACCTCCCGCTCTGACACCCACCCCCAGGAAGGGGCCTCAATAGTGCTGGCACCCAGATGAGTGAGTGCCACTGATCATGGTCAGGTCACAAGTGGGCACAAGGCAGCGGTTACCTGAAGTTGTACCCGGAGGAGACAGACTTTGAAAGTTTATTGTCCAGACGGCTAAAAGAATAGTGAGGGTGGCACTCAGAGGCAGCTTTATCAAGATCACAGTTCCATTCAATATTAATTCCTATCACGCCACCCTTGATAAAAGAGAGATGAGGGTCAGCACACACAGCTTTCCGGAGACGGACAGCATCCCAGGCCAGCCCTTCACCGGCACTGGACAATAGGAGGAGGTGCTCAGGCACGAGGTCAGCCCCTCGAGACCACCCTCCAGGAGGCTTAGTCCCCCCATGGAGCGGCTGAGAACACTGCGTCGTCCCTGCCTCAGGGCTGCCTCCCTCGTTCTTCAGGGAGAAGGGAGCCGCACAGGGTAGGCCTCTCTGGACAGGCACTTCACACTCCAGCCAGCATGTGCCAAAGGGGGTCCCTCTGCCTCACCTTCGGCTGGTGCCCCAAGGACTCAGAACCGCACAGCAGGTGCCAGGTCTGGCTCTCACTGACTGCCCGTGGTCTGAGCGCTGCCACAGCCTGCCTGTGTGCCACAGCCAGTTCTGAAAACACTGAGTCCCTGGGGGCAGGTGACTTTGCAGGGCCACCCTCGCCCGCTGCCACGGCCTGCCTGTGTGCCACAGCCAGTTCTGAAAACACTGAGTCCCTGGGGGCAGGTGACTTTGCAGGGCCACCCTCGCCCGCTGCCACGGCCTGCCTGTGTGCCACAGCCAGTTCTGAAAACACTGAGTCCCTGGGGGCAGGTGACTTTGCAGGGCCACCCTCGCCCCACGAGTCCCCGTCCACACCCTCCTCGTCACAGAGCCAGGCCCAGTGCCCCCAGGCCCTCAGGGAGGGCTCCCTGCGTGCACCCCACCCACCTCCAGGGCTATATCCTGGAAGTCGCTCCCGGCCCAGCGGATCACGGAGCCCAGTCGGAAGATGGGGCAGTAGTGGTTCTTGGGGCCAAAGTGGCATGATTTCAGGAAAGATCTGTCCTTGACGTCCATCACATTGCTTCTGGGTGGAGGCCATGGGCAGCCGAGAAATGAAGTAAGACTTGATGTTTCCCGGCCTGGCCAGGAGTCACTCGGTCCCTCACCAACCTGAGTGCTGACAGCTCCCCGCAGCAACACCCCACTTTACAGCAGGGGAAGGGGCGCCCCAGCACCACCCACCGTTTATTCACATGCAGACATCACCCACTCACATGCAGACATCACACACACACGCACACACGCGTGCACGCACGCACACACGCGAACACACGCACACACACAAACGCACGCACACATGCACACAGACACATGCACGCGCACACACGCACACACGCGAACACACGCACACACGTGCACACACGCGCGCACACACACCCCCAGGCAGAGACCCACGGAGGGCCAGCCAAGGCCCCTCATCGACCAAGGCCCACCCGTGGCCCCCAGTAGCCAAGCCCACGTACTTGGAGAAGTTGAATTTGGGGAAACGGATGTGGTTCTTTATGAAAATGGTGAAGTCTTCGGCCTCCTTCAGGAATGGCTCCCTGAAAACCAACCCAGAACAGCCTGTCCAGGAGGCCCCACCCCTGTGCCCCTCCCCCAGGCCTGGGCCAGTGTGAGGCCTGTTCCTTGGGTCCCCTGGAGCCTCTGCCCAGGACAGTTAATTTGCTCATGCTGGGGAGGCCGTCGGGCCTCGCTGGGACAGCCTGACTCCTCCCTCAGCGTGAGGCTCCCAGAGTGGGCAGGACTCCACCCTCAGGCTGGGACCCACCGCACGGGGCTGGGAAACCCCTCAGGGTCCTGAGGCTGCAGCCACTCACTCCGGCCTGGAGCTTGTCTCCAACGGGCACCAGGCAAAGATCTCACAGGTGCCCCTGGCCAAGTTCTCTCTCCGCAGGCAGCGGCCGGTCTTCACTCCTGCAGGGGTGGGACAGGATCAATGCCAGGAGCCTCCCACTCCGAGTCCTCCTTCAGCCCGTGGCCGCTCCAGGCCCTCACCGTTTCCAGCTGTAACCGCTTCCCCAGCGTGGCAGTCGCTGTCCTTGGAGCACGCGCCATCAGGAATGCCTTCATTCTGCCAGGAGAGAAGGGGCACCTGGATGGGGGGGTTCCCCCAGCTCAGAGCCGGGTCCCACTCCAGGAGATAGAATAGGGGTTCTTCTTCGGCCTGGCCCACACACACTCTGAGAACCTACTTCTCCCCCATATAATGCAGGAACCACACCCGGGTGCACACAGCCACCCGAGACCCTTGGAGTGGACAGACACCCTTGCTTCAGAAGAGAGTAGACCCCAACCACTGCCGGTGGCTCTCCCACCCCCACGCCAGGGCCCCTCGCCAAATCAAACCTCAGCACAGACGTTCTGCCGCTGGTTGGGGGTCACAATCAGGTTGGTGACCACAAAAAAGACGTTCTCTCCCTAAGGAACCAGAGAGGCACTGAGGAACCTCCTCCTGCCCCTTAGGGACCACCCCACCTTTCCAGCGTTACCTGAAAGAGGGCGGTCCCTCTGCCTGGGTTTTGGGGATAATGGGGCCACAAACTTGGTATACTCTGCCCATCTGCTCATGGACCCCACAGTCCCCAGGTAGATGTCCATTGATAGATCTCCTCCAGACTCACAAACCCCAACTGCCCCAGGATCCGGGAGAAGTGGGCGCAGGGCTCAGGCTGCCCTGGCCCTGGCCAACTGTGAACAGGCTGGAGAGCTATTCCCAGAGGCAGTGACTTAGAAGGGGGGTTCTCTGTGCCAGCCCACCTGACTCACAATGACCTGAAAGTTCTCTGGGTCCCATTTGTTCTCAGCAGACTCAGATAGAACAGAGCAGTCACCCGCGGCACAGTCAAAGAGGGCAGGGGTTTGGCATGGGAGGTAGGATCTGGACAGGGTTGCTCTCTGCAAGCCCTGGCAGCTGTCTTGGGCCAAGAGAGATGATGGATGGGGGTCCCTGCGTATCCAAGAAGCTTCCCGTGTGACCCACCCGAACCAGGCAGTCCCTGCCAGCCTTGGCCGTGTGCTAGGTGGGGACTCAGACCTGGGCTGGAATGACGTAGTCGGCGACATCCCAGATCCGCTGCCCAAGATCCGAGGTGTTGGTGAAGGCCACGCCCTTGACTTTGGTGATGACAGCACTCTGCAGGGAGGTGTCGACGTCTTGGTAACCCTTCTTTATCAGGAACACCCATCTGTGGGAAGGGGGCCGGTACGTGGGCATCAGCCACTCTGCTGGCTTCGGGGAGCTTCCCCAGGCCTTGGGGTGGGGTAGCAGTCACAGCAACTCCTAGTTGAGGTGGAGCAGGCTCAGGGCTCCACCTGTCCCACCAGCTCCTGGGCAGGGGCCACAGCTCCCACTGCTGACTGAAACCCAGTCCTGCAAGCAGCAGAGGCGACAAGCAACCCTAGAGATGGGGGCCCTGAAGAGGCAAAGACCAGCCGGGCGCAGTGGCTCACGCCTATAATCCGAGGCAGGCAGATCGCAAGGTCAGGAGATTGAGACCATCCTGGCTAACACAGTGAAACCCTGTCTCTACTCAAAAAAAAAAAAAAAAATACAAAAAATTAGCCAGGCGTGGTGGTGGGCGCCTGTAGTCCCAGCTACTCAGGAGGCTGAGGCAGGAGAATGGCGTGAACCCGGGAGGCAGAGCTTGCAGTAAGCAGAGATCGCACCACTGCACTCCAGCCTGGGCGACAGAGTGAGATTCTGTCTCAAAAAATAAATAAATAAATAAATAAAAGAGGCAAAGACCACTGTCCACTCAGAGGCCCCAAGTGGACAAGCCTGGGCTGAAGCCACATACTGGTTTGGTGACCCCAGGCAAGCCAATTTCCCATACATAACATGGGGTGACAGCGCCTCCCTCTGGGGTTGTGATGGTGCCTAACCTGAAACCAATCACGAGGAGACCTCAAACAAACCCAAACTGAGGGGCATTCTACAAAATAAGAGTACAGGCCAGGCACGGTGGCTCGCGCCTGTACTCCTAGCACTTTGGGAGACCAAGGCAGGAGGATCGCTTGAGCCCAGGAGTTTGAGACCAGCCGGGGCAACACAGTGAGACCCCATCTCTATGAAAAACAAAAAAGTAATCTAGGCATGGTGGCACCAGCCTGTCGTCCCAGCTACTCGGGAGGCTGAGGTGGGAGGATCCCTCGAGCCTGGGAGGTCGAGGCTGCAGTGAGCCATGATTGTGCCCAGGTGACAGGGTGAGACCCAGCCTCAAAAACAACAACAAAAAAATGAAATAAGAGTACAAATCCCATACTTGTTGACACTAAAAACGCAAGCAATAAAAGAAAAAATAGGTAAGTTGGACTTCATAAAAATTTAAAATGTTCATGCATCAAAAGACACTCTCAAGAAAGTGAAAAGACAACCCACAGAATGGGAGAAAACATTTGAAATAATGTAGCTGGTAAGGGTTTAGTATCCAGAAGATACAAAAAACTCTTATAATTTAACAATAAAAAGCCAAATAATCCAATTTAAAAATGAGCAAAGGATTTGAATAGACATTTCTCAAAAAAAAAAAAAAAAAAGAGAGAGAGAGATACACAAATGCCCAATTAAGCATATGAAAAGATGACAAACACCATTGGTCATTAGGGAAATACAAATCAAAACCACAATAAAACACCACTTCACTTCCACTAGGATGGCTATCATTTTTTAAAAACCCTACAGATAACAGGTGTTGATGAGGTTGTGAAGAAATTAGAACCCCCGTATATCACTGATAGGGATGTAAAATGAGGTAGTTATGGTAGAAAACAGTTTAGCAGTTCCTCAAAAGGTTAAGGATCGAGTTACCAGATAAGCCAGAAAATTCCCAAGAGATTGAGAACATGGCCAGGCACAGTGGCTCCCGCCTGTCATCCCAGCACTTTGGGAGGCCAAGGCAGGTGGATCACCTGAGGTCAGGAGTTCGAGGCCAGCCTGACCAACATGGTGAAACTCCGTGTCTACTAAAAAAATACAAAAATTAGCCAGGCATGGTGGCCCATGCCTGTAATCCCAGTTAATCCAGAGGCTGAGGCAGGAGAATCTCTTGAACCCAGGAGGCAGAGGTTGTAGTGAGCTGAGATCATGCCATTGCACTCCAGCCTGGGCAACAAGAGCGAAACTCCATCTCAAAAATAATAATAATAATAATTAAAAATTGAAAAATTGAAAACATGTTCACAAAAAACTTGTACATGAATGTTCTCAGAAGCATTCTTCTTCTTTTTTTTTTTTTGAGACAGTCTTGCTCTGCTGCCCAGGCTGCTGGAGTGCACTGGTGCGAGTAGCTGAGATTACATGCGCTCGCCACCACACCCAGCCAATTTTTGAATTTTTAGTAGAGACGGGGTTTTACCACGTTGGTCAGGCTAGCCTTGAACTCCTGACCTCAAGTGATCCAGCCACCGCGGTCTCCTCTCCCAAAGTGCTGGGGTTACAGGCATGAGCCACTACACTCAGCGGTGTGAAAACCACCCAAATGTCCATCAGCTGATGAATGCATGACCACAATGTGGCAGCCCCACACGGCAGGATAGTATCAGCCACAGAGAGGAATGGAGGGCTGATAGATGCCACAACATGGGTGAACCTTGAAAACATGACACCAAGTGAAAGAAGCCAGAAAAAAAAAAAAAAAGGCCGCATACTATACAATTTCATTTATACGAAATACCCAGAATAGGCAAATCCATAGAGACAGATTCTCCTGCCTCAGCCTCCCGATTAGCTGGGATTACAGGCGCCACTATCATGCCCAGCTAATTGTTGTGTATTTTTAGTAGAAACAGGGTTTCTCCATGTTGGCCAGGCTGGTCTCGAACTCCTGACCTCAGGTGATCCACCCACCTCGGCTTCCCAAAGGGCTGGGATTATAGGCATGAGCCACAGCGCCCGGCCGCCAATTTCCTAATTTTCATACTTGTACTTAGTTAAATATGTCCTGCTTTCCCTGCCATGTGAGGACACAGCGAGAGGGTGGCCATCTGCAAGCCAAGGAGAGAGCCCCCCCTGAGACCCCGAACCATGCTACCACCCTCGTCTCAGATTTCCACATCCAGGACTGCGAGAATTAAATTTCTATTGTTCAAGCAAAAGCAACTCCATTTATTCATTCATGCGTTCATTTCACATCTATTCCCTAAGCAGTTAAGTGCTGCTGGGGCCCCACCCTCAGGGCATTCCCGGACTGACAGCGACATCAGGCAAATGATCCCCCAAATAAGCCCAATAATTACACTGTGGGAAGGCCAGGGAGGAAGGGAGAGGGAGTTACTGGAAAGCCCAGATCTGGGGGCTGAGTGGATGCTAAGGGAGTGGAGGAGGACGGGCAGGCCTGGCTGAGCAACAGCACAGCGCCTACGAGGCCGCTCAGGTGGGAGGCGGCCAGGGGCCTGGGGATGCAGCTCAGAGAACGCGGACTGCTGGACCTCCGAGGGAGAGCCAGGCGTCAGGGCTGCCCTCCCAGGAGGAAGCAGGAGGAACTCCACCGCATTTACTGAACGAGTGGAATGAGGCGCATCCCCATTGTCCAGCGCTGCTTCTCCCCTCCACCTGCTCACCCCCGACCCACCCCGGGGTCAGGGCTCTGAAGGCGCCTGGCAGAGCAGCCTCCACAAGTTGCCTCTTTGGCTTTGTGGCGCCAGCTCCTGCCAGGTGGCATGAGGATGGGGGAAGGGGATGGCCGAGCTGGGTGCAGAGATAGAGGCCTCTGGGCAGGACCCCCAGCTGGACACCAGAGAGGCTGGCCGCGGGTGGGGCAAGTTGACCGGAAGGGAGCTCAGGAACATGCCGGGCTGATGAGTTTCTCCAGCTCTGAGTAGGCAGTGACACCCTGTGATTATAAATAACCTGCCGGCGCCTGGGTCAGCTGCCAGGCCAAGGCCCAGGGAGGCTCCTGGGGCGACAGCTGCCACCCAGCCCCCTGGCATCCCTGCCCCCTTCCCATGGCCCTAACACGTGGGGACCCGACTCTGGGAGAAGCAGCTGCAGGGAAAGCCTGATAAATCGAGGAAACCAGAAGGCCCCTGCCCACCTCTCATCACCTCTAGCGCCAGTGGGGGAGTGGAGAGCCCCCTCTCTACACCCTACTCCTACACCCAAGGACCCAAAGAGGACCCCCACAGCAAGCAGGCTCACAGACCCCCAGCTACCGGGAAAACCGCGTGCACGCCTGCGAATTCCAGGACCCTGGAGAAGGACGCGGCGGCTGGCACCCGCCCTGCCCCTCCCCCGCCTTCCCAAAAGTCCGCGGAGAACTTACACGACCAGGTACGCCAGGATGGAGGCCTGCAGCAGCCGGTACAGCAGGCCCACCTTCTTGTTCTTGGCGATGACATACTTCTCGGTCTTGTAGTCGAACAGCGACAGGCAGAGCCCCTTGCAGCCCGCCTGCCCCATGGCGCGCTCTCAGCCGGGCTTGCGGACCGCCCGGCCCACGTGCGCTCATGGGGAGCACTCGGTCCCTCGGTCCCTGCGCGCCCGGCGCCCGCCTCGGCCCGTCTGCGCCCGCTCAGCTGCAGCCCGGGGTGTCCGGCAGGGCTGCGGGGCGCGGGGGCGGGTCGGGGCGGCCTTTTATTGACGCGGTTGAGAAAGCCTCGGCTGGGAGCTGGGCGGCGGCGAGCACCGGAACCTCAGACCGCGACCTTGCCGCTACCTCTTCTTCCTCCTCCTCCTCCTCCTCCCCTGACACAGTGACACCCCTGCAACCTACTCCCCAGCCACCGGTCTGGGAGCGCAGCCCCCCGGATGCGCAGGACCGCCCTGTGCTGTTGCCCAGCTGAAAGCAGCGATCGCGGAGGAGAGGAAGTGAAAGGGGGAAGGGCTCCTTTTTATTTTATTTTAAATTTATTTATTCATTTATTTTTGAGACGGAGCCTCGCTCTGTCGCCGAGGCTGGAGTGCAGTGGTGCGATCTCAGCTCACTGCTACCTCCGCCTCCCGGGTTCAAGCGATTCTCCTGCCTCAGCCTCCCAAGTAGCTGGGACTACAGGCGTGATAATTTTTGTATTTTTAGTAGAGACGGGGTTTCACCATGTTGGCCAGGCTGGTCTTGAACTCCTGACCTCAGGTGATCCGCCCACCTCGGCCTCCCAAAGTGCTGGGATTACAGGCGTGAGCCACCGCGCACGGCCGGGAAGAGCTCCGTTTAAAGCAAAACTCCCCTTTCTCTCGCAAAGAAATCCCAAAGGGTTCTTCCTATTGAATAGATGGGGAACTGAGGCCAGGGGAGGAAGGAAGGGGACACAACAGGTTTCTCCATTCACCTCGCGCCAGGTCTCCTGCCAGGGAGATACATTCTTGCTCCGTGGGCAGGGGGTGGTTGTGGGGGGGAAGCCGTGGCTCCCCCACAGGCTGGAAGAGACAAGACTTGTCCCACCTGAGGCTGCCTGTGTCTGCTGCGACTAATGCGCGTTTCTACTGCAGCAGCTGCTGCAGGTTTAAAAGCCCACACTCCGGCGGAGTCGGTGGTCAGGCAGGTCCCGAGTGCCGGCAGCATGAAGACCTCCCTCCCACACTCAGGGCGGATGGTGCGGGGGTGGGGGGCAGACGGGGTGGGGGCGGGGAGACACAGGCAACCCACCCTAGGATCCTAAAAATATGCCTGGAGAGTGCGCATGTACCAACTGTTTGGAATGGTTCCCAACGCACAAGAAATAGAACTGATCCATGCAGCTATGACTGCAACCCTCTCAGTATGTGGAATTCAACAGGAGTGGGAGTGGGATGAGGGAGGGCCTCCGGGGGGGCAGGTTTAGAACTCCTGACAGCCAAAGACGCAGGGCCCTGGGTGAGCGCGGTGTGGTGAGGAGCTGCGCACGCTTATTTTCTGCATCCTGCAGTCTGACCACAAGCAGTCCTGCTCCTCTCCCTACCCCTGGCTTTCACACACAAAGAGGCTCCCTTCCCTAAGCCACAGACTCGGGGAACTGGAAGGTACCCTGAAATTCATCAGTGTGATTCTAAAGTAAAAGCCCCAAGGAAGGTGTCCAGTTTCAAAGTGCATGGGAATCATGTGGAAGAAAAAAAGGCAAATTCCTAGGCCCTGCCCCTCAAATTTTCATTCACGAAATCTAAGATGGGGCTGGGAACCTGTATTTTGCTCTCAAACTGTCATTTGGGAAAGCGTGGATCTTTGCATCTTTTCATCCATTTCAACTCAACTGCCATTTCTTCAAAAAGGCCTGTTATTATTGCCCACCCAAAGTAGCCCCCAGTCCCAGCCCAGCCACTTTCTATCCCATTATCTCATCTTATTCCCTTAGAGCACCTGTCACTATCCAGTAGGATCTCGTTGACTTAGTGACTGTGTCCCATGCTAAGACCAGAAGCTCCCGGAGAGCAGGGACCATGCCTTTGGACATCTCTGTATGTCCCTGTGCCTGCCACATAATAGTTCTAGACATATTATTGAATGAGTGGACAAACCTGGCCCTGATTTTTTTTTTTTTCAACAGGGAGGGCATTTCGATTCCACCCTGCCCCAGTCATGACTGCGAATTTTAGGGGCTGAAGTCATCTTGGCTCTCCTGCCAGCCTCCTCCTCAGCCCCCTGCTAACACAGCACTCCAATGCTCACTAAAGCAGCCGCCACCGAGTGACATCACCCCTAAGAAGATGCCCGTCACCCTGACAGTGCTGCTCCAGGGTAAGGTATAGAGGGGAGGTGGACTTTCAGAGTCTCACAGGAGTCGCCTGAATTGCATCTGCCCTGGAGAAGAGCTTGCCCATCAACCCCAGCACAGGACAACATGAGTGTCACAGAGATGGTGCCACATTGAGTCTCTCCACTCCCCAAGGGAGTTCCAGGTTTTGTTCCAGGGCCTGTTTGTTCTTTGAAGGGGTCTTTAGAGACCAGGACCTTCATTTTTCTGGGGTGATTAGGGAAGGGGTGAGTAAGTGAGGCCCCAGAGCAGAGCCTACCACTAGCCCCAGTCCCAGGCACTCTGCTGTTCTTGATTCATCAAACCTTTGTGTGCTACTGGAGAGGCTGAACTGCCAGGCACTTGCCCTCCATGTCCTGTCTTAACTGCCACTGTGGCTTTAGAGAAGGGCTCTGCTCTGACTTCCCCTCCAGTACAGGCAGCCCCTCCTGAACTCCCCACGGCACAGCCAAGACCAGGCTGCAACTTCTGACGGAACTGTCCTGAAGCTTTAGAGACCACATGAGGGGCATCTAGAGGGGACAGGGCTCTCGGGGACAGGACCAGGCCCATCCTTACGGGGTCCCTTACTGCACAGCTTCAGAGACTAGATCCAGACCCACTGGTGAGGCATGACATCAAATTACTGGGCGACAACCAGCATTAAAAAAAATAGGTTGGGCACAGGCGCTCATGCCTGTAATCCCAGCACTTTGGGAGGCTGAAGCAGCAGAACCGCTTGAGCCCAGGAGTTCAAGACCAGCCTGGGCAACATAGCAAAACTTTGTCTATATATATAGACAGACACACACACACACACACACACACACACACACACACACACACCTATATATATAACTAGCCAAGTCAGGCACAGTGGCTCATGCCTTTAATCCTAGCACCTTGGGAGGCCAAGGCAGGAGGATTGCTTGAGCCCAGGAGTTCAAGACCAGCCTGGGCAACATAGGGAGACCCCTTCTATACAAAAAATAAAAAATTAGCTGGATGTGGTCGTGCACACTTGTGGTCCCAGCTGCTTGGGAGGCTGAGGCAGGAGGATCACCTGAGCCCAGGTGGGTTGAGGCTGCAGTGAGCCATTATTGCACCACTGCACTCCAGCCTGTATGATAGAGACCCTGCTTCTTAAAAAAAATTGACCAGGTGGGATGGTGCACACCTGTAGTCCTAGCTGCTCAGGAGGCTGAGGTAGGAGGATCTCTTGAGCCTGGGAGTTCAACACTGTAGTGAGCAATTATCGCAAATAAATAGAAAATATTGCCGGATGCAGTGGCTCACACCTGTCATCCCAGCAGTTTGGGAGGCCGAGGCAGGTAGATCACGAGGTCAAAAGTTTGAGACCAGCCTAACCAACATGGTGAAACCCCCTCTCTATGAAAAATACAAAAATTAGCCAGGCCTGGTGGCACACGCCTATAGTCCCAGCTACTCAGGAGGCTGAGACAGGAGAATCGCTTGAACCCAGGAGGTGGAGCTTGCAGTGAGCCAAGATCGCGCCACTGCACTCCAGCCTGGGTGACAGAGTGATACTCCATCTAAGAAAGAAAGAAAGAGAGAAAGAGAGAGAGAGAGAGAAAGAAAAAGAAAAAAGAAAGAAAGAAAGAAAGAAAGGAAGGAAGGAAGGAAGGAAGGAAGGAAGGAAGGAAGGAAGGAAAGAAAGAAAGAAAGAAAGAAAGAAAGAAAGAAAGAAAGAAAGAAAGAAAGAAAGAAAATTAGTGTATTTAAGGAAGTATTGGTGTTATGTGAAACTTTTGTTTTAAGTGTCCACATATGGCATTGTGATGTGGAATATACTTCTTCCTGTGGGTCACAGTCCAAATAATGTGGAAAACACTTACAAGCTGTGGCCCCCAGTATCTGCATTCTATCTCCCCATGGCTGAGGCCAACTCACCACCCTCACAAGCACATGCCAAACACCCATTGTGCCCAGTGGGGAGATGAGGACTTTGCTTTTTACACCTGCCTTATTAAAAGTCCAAGTCAGGGCCGGGCAGTGTGGCTCACGCCTGTAATCCCAGCACTTTAGGAGGCCGAGGCAGGCAGATCACGAGGTCAGAAGTTTGAGACCAGCCTGACCAACATGGTGAAACCCCCTCTCTATGAAAAATACAAAAATTAGCCGGGCCTGGTGGCACGCGCCTATAGTCCCAGCTACTTGGGAGGCTGAGGCAGGAGAATCGCTTGAACTCGGGAGGCGGAGCTTGCAGTAAGCCGAGACTGTGCCACTGCACTCCAGCCTGGGCGACAGAGTGAGACTCTGGCTCGAAAAAAAAAAAAAAAATTCCAAGTCAGGGACATTTCCAAAACCAAGATGAATTCTCCAACTGAGAGAAAAATGCCTGCTGCTTTCGAGTGATACAGTTTGGATGTGTGTTCCTCCAAATCGCATGTTGAAATGTGACCTCCCATGTTGGAGGGGGCCTAGTGGGCGGTGTAGGGTCATAGATGTGGCTTCTTTATGAATGGCTTGGCACTATCTCCCGGATAATGAGTGAATTCTCACTCTGGTAGTTCACGCGAGAGCTAGTTGTTTAAAAGAACCTGGTACCTCCTCCTCTCTCTCCTGCTGCCTCTCATCCTGTGACATGCCAGCTCCTCCTCTGTCTTCCACCATGATTGGAAGCTTCCTGAGGCCTCCCCAGAAACTCCCCTCACCCCAGCCAGGGGCCCAGGGCGAATGGCTGGTGTTCAGAGCAGTCACAACCCCCTCACTGCCTCACCACGGCCCCCCTCCTTCTCCTCCCTCACAGGAGTCCACATCACGCTTCCCTGTAATGAGTATAATCCCTTCCTGTTCACCTGAAATAAAGGACGGGATGAGCAGTGACTGTTGTTCCGTTGTTGTCTGATTTACAAGCCTTTGTCTAGTTCAAGCTTGTCCAACCCTAGGCACAAGGACGGCTTTGAATGTGGCTCAACACAAATTCACAAACTTTGTTAAAACGTTGTGAGGTTTTTTTTGCAATTTTTTGTTTTTTTTAGCTCATCAGCTATTGTTAGTGTGAGTGTATTTACGTGTGGCCCAAGACAATTCTTTTTCCAATGTGACCCAGGGAAGTCAAAAGATTGGACACCTCTGGTCTAGTTGGATGATTTAAGGTACCTGCAGTGAAGTGATGAGAACTATAAAATGAACTTCTAAGTCCGGGCGTGATGGCTCACGCCTGTAATCCCAGCACTTTGGGAGGCCAAGGTGGGCGGATCACCTGAGGTCAGGAGTTCGAGACCAGCCTGAACAATATGGAGAAACCCCGTCTCTACTAAAAATACAAAATTAGCCCGTCATGGTGGCGCATGCCTGTAATCCCAGCTACTTGGGAGGCTGAGGCAGGAGAATCACTTGAACCCAGGAAGCAGAGGTTGTGATGAGCAGAGTTCACACCATTGCACACTCCAGCCTGGGCAGCAAGAGTGAAACTCTGTCTCAGAAAAAAAAAAAAAAAAAAAAAAAGGAACTTCTAAAGGGACATTTTCTCTGTTTTTTTTTTTTTTGTTTTTTTTTTTTAAGACAGAGTCTTGCTCTGTCTCCGAGGCTGGAGTGCAGTGGTGCAATCTCAGCTCACTGCAACCTCTGCCTCCCCGGCTCAAGTGATTCTCCTGCCTCAGCCTCCCAAATAGCTGGGACTACAGGCACACACCACCATGCCCGGCGGTGAGTAATTTTTTTGTGTGTAATTTTTTCGTATTTTTAGTAGAGACGGAGTTTCACCATGTTGGTTAGGCTGGTCTCGAACTCCTGGCCTCAAGTGATCCACCCACCTGGGCCTCCCAAAGTGCTGGTGAGAGATCAAGCCAGCTGGACTTCCTGGGTCGAGTGAAGACTTGGAGAGCTTTTCTGTCTAGGTAAAGGATTGTAAATGCACCAATCAGCACTCTGTAAAAACGCACCAATCAGTACTCTGTGTCTAGCTAAAGGATTGTAAATGCACCAATCAGCACTGTGTAAAAATGCACCAATCAGTGCTTTGTGTCTAGCTAAAGGATTGTAGACACACCAATCAGCCCTCTGTAAAAGCGCACCAATCAGCATTCTATGTCTAGCTAAAGATTGTAAACGCACCAACCAGCACTCTGTAAAATGGACCAATCAGCGCTCTGTAAAATGGACCAATCAGCGCTCTATAAAATGGACCAGTCAGCAGGATGTGGGTGGGGCCAAATAATGGAATAAAAGCTGGCCACCCAAGCCAGCAGTGGCAACCTGCTGGAGTCCTCTTCCACGTTGTGGAAGTTTTGTTCTTTCCCTCTTCACAATAAATCTTGCTGCTGCTCACTCTTTGGATCCACACTACCTTGATAAGCTGTAACACTCACTGCGAAGGTCTGAAGCTTCACTCCTGAAGTCAGCGAGACCATGAACCCACTGGAAGGAAGAAACTCTGGACACATCTGAACATCAGAACATCAGAAGGAACAAACTCCAGACACACCATCTTTAAGAACTGTAACACTCACCACGAGGGTCCATGGCTTCATGCTTGAAGTCAGCGAGACCAAGAACCCACCGGAAGGAACCAGTTCCAGACACATTGGGACTATATGCGTGAGCCACTGTACCCAGCCTGCCATTTTCTTTTTACATCATCTCCCTTGCTCCTAAGACTTGCCAGCATTTTAAAGTCTATTATTGTGGTCTGGACCCACTCTGGGACATCCTGGTCTGCTCTGAGACCTGGGACAGTCTCTGATAAAATCCTGGTGGACTCCCAAATGTATCCAGTAAAAGCTACGAGGGAGCCTCAGACAGAGCCCTCCCCTCCTCCAAAGAAATGTGCTGGGGGCCTCACCTGGGGGAAACCAGACTCTCCTGCCTCTGATCCCAAGCTTTCCCCACACCAGTATCTGTTCCTTCTACACATTTTATAGATGAAAAGCGAGAATGTATGGTGCAATGGGCTGAGCCTTTAGAGACAGGGGAATTACTCCTCAAATAGAAAAACTCAACAACAAACGAGGCCAGGCCCAGTGGCTCACACCTACAATCCCAACACTTTGGGAGGCTGAGGTGAGAGGATCACTTGACCCCAGGAGTTAGAGACCAGCGTGGACAACGAAGTGAGACTCTTGTTTCTACCTAAAAAAACAAAACAAAACAAAAAACATTAAAAAATTAGCTGGGCATGGTGGCAAGTACCTGTGGTCCCAGCTCCTTGGGAGGCTGAGGTGGGAAGATTGCTTGAGCCCAGGAGATTGAGGCTGCAGTGAGCTGAGATCATGGCACTGCACTTCAGCCTGGGTGACACAGAGGGATACTTTAAAAAAAAAGAAAAAGAAAACTCCTCATTTCCCTATGGGATGAAGTGCTTCCAAGAGGAAAAATGTCAGCTGCAGGAGAGTTGCCAACAGCATCACTGTTCCCAGCAGCAGCTTGGAGGTGTCCCTTGGTCACCCCTGCAGCCTCTGAAGACACGTGGGTTCTCTCTTCCCCTCCAGCTCTGGTGAGGGTGAAATAACACCTCCCCCTTAGCCTGAGATTCCAACAAACCCAAAAAACATTCCCCACAAAATTAAAGGAAACAAAACAGAAAATAAACAACATTTAAAAACCCCAGCCGGGCATGGTGGCTCACGCCTGTAATCCCAGCACTTTGGGAGGCCGAGGTGGGTGGATCACCTGAGGTCAGGAGTTCGAGACCAGCCTGACCAACATGGAGAAACCCCATCTCTACTAAAAATACAAAAAAGTAGCCGGACGTGGTGGCACATGCCTGTAATCCCAGCTACTCGGGAGGCTGAGGCAGGAGAATTGCTTGAACCCAGGAGGCAGAGGTTGTGGTGAGCTGAGATGACGCCATTGCACTCCAGCCTCGGCAACAAGAGCAAAACTCTGCCTCAAAAAAACAAACAAACAAAACCCAAAAAACCACACAAAACCCAAATCCCATAAAATCATATGGTTCTTGGAGTAGAGGTTCAGATGTTACTTCCTTATGGTGAATTCTATTTCCCACCTCAAAGGAGCAGGAAGGCCTGGAAGGAGGAGATTTGAATCTCTCCTGGGGCACAGAAGGTCATTCCGCGATAAGGGGGCCAGCTGCAGACCCAGCCTTCCTGCCGAGTCCTGAGGAGCTGGGTGGCCCAGAGAGACAAGAGTGGGCAGGGGTGGTACGGGAAGAGTTTCACCAAGAGCCTCCCAAGGCAACTCGCCCTTTTCCTTTTGCTGAGGTCCTTCCATGACGGACATATCCCATTAATAGACATTACTGATCCACTTAAATGGCAGATGCATTATTAACGCCATGTAAATGCAGTCAACAGAAGGCAGGACACTCCTCTCTGTGGGAGGCACTTCCGTGCCCATCAGCACCTTGTGTGACCCACCGTAATTGATGGGTTGGTACTCAGTACCCAGCGCCCAATATTTGAACTGAGGAAAATTCCACTGAGACAGTAAACACTTGAAAGAGTAAAGAGCCAAATGCTAGTCCACTGGGCACTAAAAAGGATAAAGATTCAGGCCGGGTGTGGTGGCTCACACCTGTAATCCCGGCACTTTGGAAGGCCGAGGTGGACGGATCACCTGAGGTCAGGAGTTCGAGACCAGCCTGACCATCATGGAGAAAACCTGTCTCTACTAAAAATACAAAATTAGCTGGGTGTGATGATGCGTGCCTGGAATCCCAGCTACTCGGGAGGCTGAGGCAGGAGAATCGCTTGAACCTGGGAGACAGAGGTTGCGGTGAGCGGAGATCATGCCATTGTACTACAGCCTGGACAACAAGAGCAAAACTCTCGTCTCAAAAAAAGAGAGGATAAAGAATCAAACTCGAGTCAACCAAATCCACAAAGCAGTGACAAGTCTACCACGGTACCTCTTAGAGCTACGCACATCTTGTTCTAACTCCAGTTCCCGGCGCTGGCTTCCCCCACAGCATGTGTGAACTTTCTCACACGCATCCGCTCCTCTCCACTCCCAAGTTCCAGGACTGTGGTGATGCAATGAGAATGAGTGTGAGAATGGTGGCAATGCAATGAGTGTGAAACCCACGTATCAAATACCACGAATGCCCGTGTCTTCCCATAGTTCCCTGTACACGATTCGGATCCAATGCACAGTCCTACCTGCCTTCCCAGCTACACAGTCCCCACTGCACACTCAGCCTCAGCCAGCTTGGCTCGTGGGCTTTACCATAGTTTTCAGTGTCCAGCTTCCCTACCTTTGCCCAGGTGGATCTCTCCTCTGTTCTTCATGGCTTCGAGGGTCAGCTTACAGGTGTCTCTCTCCTTCATGAAGGCCTCCTCAATTGCTGTCCTCCTCCAAATGTCCACACGATAGGATCTGTACCATTTAGAGAATTCATTGCTTTCTCCCTCGCTGTCACAGTTGGGTACATATCTGTCAAGCAGGAAAGGCCTTCAACAGTCTGACCACAGGACCTGCATGAAGTAGGTAGTCACTGAGGCTTGTAGAATGATGAACAAAGAACGAATGAATGAAATTTCTAATCACCCATTAGCCTGTATACTTGAAGTGTCTGGGGTAGAGTGACTAAGTGACTTTTATTTTTGTGTGTATATTAATAGAAGATTACTTTTTTCTTTTTTGAGATGGTGTCTCACTCTGTCACCCAGGCTGGCGTGCAGTGGCACAATCATGGCTCACTGCAGCCTTGACCTCCTTGGGCTGAGGTGATCCTCCCACCTCAGCCTCCTGAGTAGCTGAGACTACAGGTACATACTACACCTGGATAATTTTTTTTTTTTTAAGACAGAGTCTCACTCTGTCGGCAGGCTGGAGTGCAGTGGCACAATCTCAGCTCACTGTGACCTCTGTCTCCTGGGTTCAAGTGATTCCCCTGCCTCACCTTCCTGAGTAGCTGGGACTACAGGCGCGCACCACCACGCCTGGCTAATTTGTTGTATTTTAGTAGAGACGGGGTTTCATCATGTTGGCCAGGACAGTCTCGATCTCCTGACCCCGTGATCTGCCTGCCTCAGCCTCCCAAAGTGCCGGGATTACAGGCATGAGTCATCACGCCTGGCCCCTGGGTAATTTTTATGTTTTCTGTACAGACAGGGTTTCGCCGTGTTGCCCAGGCTGGTCTCAAACTCCTGGGTTCAAGTGATCTGCCCACCTTGCGCTCTCAAAGTGCTGGGGTTACAGCTGTGAGCCACTGTGCCTGGCCCATAGAAGATTTCAACAGACGTAATTCCACCAGAGCAGTAAGTTAAAATTCGTCTCCTGAAGTAACTTACTCATCACCAAGACTCCAGGTCTGTGCTGAGTGCAGCCCATTGACAAAGTGTAACCAGATGAACACACACACTGATCTCATAATTAGCATCTCACAGGGTGCGGCTCCCACATCACCACCACCTGGAGCACATGCCGAAAAATGCGGAGGCCCAGATCCAAGCCAAGCTAGAGCGTCAGAGCCTTCGGGGGTCGGAGCAAGGAGCCAGTGTGATCTCGGCTCACCGCAATCTCTGCCTCCCGGGTTCAAGTGATTCTCCTGCCTCAGCCTCCCAAGTAGCTGGGACTACAGGTGCCCACCACCACGCCCGGCTAATTTTTGTATTCTTAGTGGAGACGGGTTTTCACCGTGTTAGCCAGGATGGTCTCCATCTCCTGACCTGGTGATCCGCCCGCCTCGGCCTCCCAAAGTGCTGGGATTACAGGCGTGCGCCACTGCGCCCACCTATAATCTTGATACCAACAGAAATTGTATATTCCTGTCACATTACAGCTACCGCAGGTATCTCAAAATATAATGTAAGCTCATCACCACTTTGGAAGTAGGGTAGTTATTAGACCTGCTGCTTTAAGGCATTAATAAAGATATACAAACATCTCTATATAAATTTTTAAAAACATTCTGATTGTTAGATTTCAATGTAATTGATTTTTATAAACTTTTATTGTTTAAAAATAAGCTGATAGACGGTTGGGAAAACGGGGCAAAACAAGCAGAGGAAAATGCTAACAGCAGAAACTAGGTGGTGGGCAGACCGGTGTTCACTGTAGAATTCGACTTTTCTGTATGTGTGAACATTTTCGTAATGCAACGTTTGGGAAAATACCTGACAAGGGGTTGCTGGACCACCAAAAGGATCTACAGCCCACCGAACAGTCAGAAACCCCTAACCTAGAGGTACTGGTGTCCTTAACCAGCTAGCCAATCCAGTCAGTTCTTCATCCGGGAGCCAAAAGACCCCAGGCCTGGGTATCCCAATTCCACTTAGGCTGGCAGCCTTTTGCCAGACTAAGAAATCAAAAAGGTTTGCAGCACCAAAGTGAGCCAGTGGTGTTTTCTCTCATTCATCCCAGCACTCCAACCTTAGCCTCAGATCTCACAGCTCTAAAGAGAGGAAAGATCACGCCGAGAAACCAAAGCCAAGAGCTCGAAAACGTCTGGCAGTTCTGGGAAGGACTAGTCCAGACCCCCCTCTCGGCCCTGGACAGAAGATGAGGCATCCACAGAGACCACACCTTCAGTCCCCCTGACTACTGTGCCCCCAGGACTGCAACTGGCTGCGGGGTCCTAGGAGATGGTTAACCAGGAATCTCGGCCAGACGCGGTGGCTCACGCCTGTAATCCCAGCACTTTGGGAGGCCGAGGCAGGTGGATCACGAGGTCAGGAGATCGAGATCATCCTGGCTAACACGGTGAAACCCTGTCTCTACTAAAAATACAAAAAATTAGTCAGGCTTGGTGGCGGGCGCCTGTAGTCCCAGCTACTTGAGAGGCTGAGGCAGGAGAATGGCGTGAACCCGGGATGCGGAACTTGCAGTGAGCCGAGATCATGCCACTGCACTCCAGCCTGGGTGACAGAGTGAGACTCCGTCTCAAAAAAAAAAAAAAAAAAAAAAACACCAGGAATCTCCTCCTCAGGGACAGAGGGAGGGCAAGGGCAGGGCCTCTCCCAGAAGCGGAAGGGCACCGTGGTCCTGTCTTCTCCCTGGTGGTACTTAGGAAGACTGTTTTTCAGACAGACCACCAATGATGACGGCTGCTTCCTAATGCCCACCACCTCATCTGTAAGACTTAGCTCCCCCACTTTGGAGAGCACATGGCTCTCTAATCCTATTAAAGTCAAATCACCCTTACTTGCCCAAAGGCTCAGAAGTTCAGAGGTAGAAATGCACCTCTTCTACCCCAGAAGCAGGGAGCAGCTCAGAAAAAGCTAATGAGAAAATACCAGGGTCATGTTGTTTGAACTGGACAAGAAAGAAAAAGCATAGAGGAAAAAAAAAAAAGTCATCTTAATTCATGGAAAAATACATGGCCTTGCCAACAGTCAAAGAAAAGTAAAACTGAAACTATAATTATATACCCATTAAGCAAACAAATTAAGTAAAAATGGAGATTCCAGAACAAGTTCACGCTGCTGATAACCACATAAAGTGGTCCGGTCTTTCTGGAAAGCACTTCGGCACTGCAGAGCAATTACAAAAAGTTTTTAATTCCACTCTTGGAAAAAGCTAAAAGGGCTTCTTTACAAATTGTGATTAATTCCCCAAAGATTATGTTAGCCCAAGATGATACCCTTCCCTCTATTCCCCCACCTGACCCCCAGCATTTAGCAGCAGCATTTAGCTTCTGACATGCATTCCTTGAAAACGGTCACAAATGGCAGAAGATACCATCTTATTTATGCAACCCCCCTCAAAAAAAAAAACCTTTGTACTTAGATATAAATATATATAAATACTTAGAGATGCACAGAATATGGTTTGGTTTTCTTTCTTTTCTTTTTTTTGAGACAGAGTCTTGCTCTGTCACCCAGGCTGTAGTGCAATGGCACAATCTTGGCTCACTGCAACATCCCCCTCCCGTGTTCAAGCGATTCTCCTGCCTCAGCCTCCCAAGGAGGTGGGATTACAGGCGCCTGCCACAACGCCAGGCTAATTTTTGCATTTTTAGTAGAGACAGGGTGTCACCATGTTGGGCAAGCTGGTCTCGAACTCCTGACCTCAGGTGATCCACCCACCTCGGCCTCCCAAAGTGCCCGGCTCAGAATATGGGTTTGGAAAGATACACGTTAAACCAGGTCATCTCAGCCTCTGAGGAAGAGCATTGAATGAAGCAAGGTTGCGACAAAGGCAAATTTTCACTTTTTACTGATTTCACTATGAGAAATGTACCTATTACTCATGTACTTTACAAAATTTGCTCCCACTAATAAAAAAACAAAGCAAGTCAACCGAAGTTGGGAATTGTCAATTTAGGTGCATCCTCCTGAACTCTGCTATTAGGACGACGATGCTTCCTGAAGTGATTAAGTTTCCCTAAGCCAGGCACAGTGGCACATGCCCTTAGTCCCAGCTACTGCAGATCACTTGAGCTCAGGAGTTCAAGTCCAGCCTGGGTAACAAGGTGAGACCCCAGTCTCCAAAAGTAAAAGTTAAAAAATTTTAATAGCCAGGTGCAGTGGAGGCTCAAGCCTGTAATCCCAGCACTTTGGGAGGCTGAGGTGGGTGGATCACGAGGTCAGGAGTTCGAGACCAGCCTAACATGGTGAAACCCCGTCTCTACTAAAAATGCAAAAATTAGCTGGGCATGGTGGCGGGTGCCTGTAGTTCCAGCTACTCGGGGGGCTGAGGCAGGAGAATCGCTTGAACCCAGGAGGCGGAGTTTGCAGTAAGCCGAGATCATGCTACTGCACCCCAGCCTGGGCGAAAGAGCGAGACTCTGTCTCAAAAAACAAACAAAGAAAAACAAAACAAAACAAACAAAAATTAATAAAATGAAAGTTTCCCTTGATTCCATATACTGAATCTGTTCCTAGTTCAAGTAATGGTAAAATTCTGGTGCCATTATAATATAATTATGACTAGAAGACCCAGAAAATCTTAACCAAATACCCCTCCTTGTAAATGTATTAGAGATGTGCACAGAATAATGCAGTAGTGCAGATTATTTAAGACTGCAGGAGGCCGGGCGTGGCGGCTCACGCCTGGAATCCCAGCACTTTGGGAAGCCGAGGTGAGCGGATCACTTGAAGTCGGGAGTTCAAGACCAGCCTGGTCAACATGGTGAAACCCAGTCTCTACTAAAAATACAAAAATTAGTTTGGTGTGGTGGCATGCACCTGCAGTCCCAGCTACTCAGGAAGCTGAGGCATGAGAATCGATTGAACCTGGGAGGCGGAGGTTGCAGTGAGCCGAGATCATGCTACTGCACTCCAGCCTGGGAGAAAGAGCAAGACTCTATCTCAAATAAATAAATAAATAAATAAATTAATAAAATGAAAGTTTCCCTTGATTCCATATACTGAATCTGTTCCTAGTTCAAGTAATGGTAAAATTCTGGTGCCATTATAATATAATTATGACTAGAAGACCCAGAAAATCTTAACCAAAAACCCCTCCTTGTAAATGTATTAGAGATGTGCACAGAATAATGCAGTAGTGCAGATTATTTAAGACAGCAGGAGGCCGGGCGTGGCAACTCACGCCTGGAATCCCAGCACTTTGGGAAGCCGAGGTGAGCGGATCACTTGAAGTCGGGAGTTCAAGACCAGCCTGGCCGACATGGTGAAACCCCATCTCTACTAAAAATACAAAAGTTAGTTGGGCGTGGCGGCATGCACCTGCAGTCCCAGCTAATTAGGAAGCTGAGGCATGAGAATCGATTGAACCCAGAAGGCGGAGGTTGCAATGAGCCGAGATCGCACCACTGCACTCCAGCATGAACGAGAGCGAGACCCTGTCTCAAAAAAACAAAACAAAACAAAAAAAACTGCTGTTCCCTCCAATAACTGCATCCAAAGTTCAGCGGGTCCCAGCTCAGTCCTTTTCTGGGTAGCAGAGTGGCCCTATGGCATGACTCACTGTTCTTGGATCTATGCAAGCTCTACCATTTCCTGTCCCAGGCAGAGGGTGAAAAGGAAATGAGAAAGGCCTAGCACCTAAAAGGCAGCTTGTAGAAGAAAGACCGGCTGGGAAAGTACCCCATGTGCTTTCTGTTCTCCTTTGCCCTGGTACAGGATAGTGAGTGCAGATTCGAATAACCTGTTTCTCTCATGATACCATCTGAACTTTGGAGGGATGAAACCAATGAAACCAAGCAGGTGTGAAAACCTAAATTGGCCACGTTATTTAGACCTCATTCAATTACGAGAAAAGGTTACTCCACAGGGCTGAGCCCAGCACTCATTCTTTTTTTTTTTTTTTTTTTTTTTTTTTTTTGAGACGGAGTCTCGCTCTGTCACCCAGGCTGGAGTGCAGTGGCGCGATCTTGGCTCACTGCAAGCTCTGCCTCCCGGGTTCAAGCGATTCTCCTGCCTCAGCCTCCAGAGTAGCTGGGATTACAGGCACCCACCACCACGCCCAGCTAATTTTGTATTTTTAATGAAGATGGGGTTTCTCCATGTTGGTCAGGCTGCTCTCAAGCTCCCGACCTCAGGTGATCTGCCCACGTCGGCGCCTCCCGAAGTGCTGGGATTACAGGCGTGAGCCACTGCGCCCGGCCTCATTATTTATTTATTTATTTATTTTTTTGAGACAGGGTCTCGCTCTGTTGCCCAGGCTGGAGTGCAGTGGCACGATCTCGTCTCACTGCAAACTCTGCCTTCTGGGTTCAAGCGATTCTCATGCCTCAGCCTCCTGAGTAGCTGGGACTACAGGTGTATGCCACAGACCTTGGCCCAAGCCATAGCATATGAATTTGTAAAATCTAACCATGTCGCACTTAAAAGTGTCTTCCTCCTCATTAAGTAGTTCCTGATGTAGTTCCCCCGATTACAGCTGCCTTGCTCTAACGCCAATTGGATCAGCACGACTCAGTAAGTCAATAACAAACAGGCTTCCCAGTGACGATGGAAGTGGGGTCTTATTTGCAATTTTAAAAAGTATAAAAAGCAGGGGCTTTTATATAATATGAAAACTTGGACACAACTCCTGAGCACAACAGGAAAATAAGTAAGCAAACTTACCTGTGTGTTTTCCCTCAAAGGCAAATTCCACTGAAACAACCCAAGAGTTACAAGGAAGGGGAAAAGCCTGTGGCAGCATTGGAAAACAGAGAACAATATCATCAAGTGACCGATAGCACAGACGGATTTCTGAACGAAATGAAGATGATGGAATCAGATCAACAGGGAAGCAGATGGTGCCCAACAGCCTAGTGATGTAACACTGGCAAGGTACGGGGCTCCATGAGAGGTGAATGGGCTGCTCCAACCAAGCCCTAGAAACTACCCAAAGGCAGAGCAGCCGGGGCTGGGATAACAGGCAGGTGTGAGGCAGGCAGAGGAGGGCCAGAAAAGCCCTCCCATTACAACCAGGTACACGGTTTACTTCTCAGAGCTCTCCACGTCCTAGTCAAAGAAGTAAGGGTAGCCAAAAGTAGAAATATCAGAAAGACTCCAAATTGCCATTATTTGCAAATAAAATTGTCTCCTTAGAAAAATCCCAAAGAATCAACTAAAGAGTGATTTAAAAACAGTTTGGCCGGGCCCGGATTTGGCTCATGCCTGTAATCCCAGCACTTTGTGAGCCTGAGGCGGGTGGATCACCTGAGGTCAGGAGTTCGAGACCAGCCTAACATGGTGAAACCCCATCTCTACTAAAAGTGCAAAAATTAGCTGGGCATGGTGGTGGGTCCCTGTAGTCCCAGCTACTCGGGAGGGTGAGGCAGGAGAATTGCTGGAACCCGGGAGGCGGAGGTTGCAGTGAGCAGAGATCACACCACTGCACTCCAGCGTGGGCGACAGAGTGAGACTCCGTCTCCAAAAAAACAAAACCACAGTTCAGTAAAATGGCCAGATAAGATAAACATTCAAAACCACCAACTGTTCTAAGTGCAAACTCTAAACAGTCGGGGGAAAAAACGGTATTTTCACACAGTAGCAACAAAAGCATAATAACAGGTCAGGCGCAGTGGCTCACGCCCCAACACTTTCAGAGGCTAAGGCAGGAGGATCACTTGAAGCCAGGAGTTTGAAATCAGCTTGGTCAACATAGCTAGATCCCATCTCTACAAAAGAAAAATTAAAAAATGAGCCGGGCATAGTGGCTTGCACCTGTAGTCCCAGCTACGCAGGAGGCTGAGGCAGAGGACGGCTTGAACCCAAAAGTTCAAGGCTGCAGCAACCTATGACTGCATCACTGCCCTCCAGCCTGGGCAACACAGTGAGACCCCCCCAAAATAAATAAACAAATAAAAATGCAGCTGGAAGTAAGTCTTTATAAATTAAGACCCCTTTGAAGAAAATTATAAAACCTTGCTGCAGAGTGTTTTTAAAAATCTCAGCATTGCCAGGCGCGGTGGCTCATGCCTGTAATCCCAGCACTTTGGGAGGCTGAGGCAGGTGGATCACCTGAAGTCAGGAGTTTGAGACCAGCCTGACCAACATGGAGAAACCCCATCTCTACTAAAAATACAAAATTAGCTGGGCGTGGTGGCGCATGCCTGTAATCCCAGTTACTCAGGAGGCTGAGGCAGGAGAATCGCTTGAACCCGGGAGGCGGAGGTTGCGGTGAGCCAAGATCACACCATTGCACACCAGTCTGGGCAGTAAGAGCAAAACTCTGTCTCAAAAAAAAAAAATAAAGTAAAATAAAAATTAAAAAATAAATCGCAGCAAGCGGAGTAGAAAGGAAATCTATAAAGATATCAATGCTCCCAAACTTAACCTGTATGTTTAAATTAAAACCCCAAAGAGTTTCTTCTGGAAATCTGAAAAATTGATACTTAAGAATTATCTGAAAGGATACAATCGATAATTTTTTTTTGAGACAGTCTTGCTCTTTTGCCCAGGCTGGAGTGCAATGGCGTGATCTTGGCTCACTGCAAGCTCTGCCTCCCAGGTTCACGCCATTCTCCTGCCTCAGCCTCCCGAGTAGCTGGGACTACAGGCACCTGCCACCGCACCCGGCTAATTTTTTTTATTTTTAGTAGAGACGGGGTTTCACCGTGTTAGCCAGGATGGTCTCCATCTCCTGACCTCGTGATCCACCTGCCTCAGCCTCTCAGAGTGCTGGGATTACAGGCGTGAGCCACCGCACCCCGCCTATTTTGTTTTTTTCTTTTTGAGATGGAGTCTCACTCTGTTGCTAGGCTGGAGTGCAGTGGCACGATCTCGGCTCACTGCAACCTCCGCCTCCCAGGTTCAAATGATTCTCCTGCCTCAGCCTCCTGAGTAGCTGGGACTACAGGCACCCGCCACCATGCCCAGCTAATTTTTGTATTTTTAGTAGAGATGGGGTTTCACCATGTTGGCTAGGATAGTCTCGATCTCTTGACCTCGTGATCTGCCTGCCTCAGCCTCCCAAAGTGCTGGGATTACAGGCGTGAGCCATCATGCCCGGCCACAATCTATCATTTTTTAAAAATAAGAATGAAAACTTGCCCTATCAGGCAAAATGTACTGCAAATCCTAAGTAATACTGTATTTCCAGATTAAAGGCACTACTGCAAAGAAAAGTGTAAATTTATTTAATACCAAATGTTTCCTAAGTTTACTTTTTGCACAATGCACAGACACTTTTGGGACAATGTATGGTTAAAAACTAATATTCTACCAACAGCTCCATGCTGCTCTAGATCATCCTGAAGGAAAAAGTAATGCAAAGGATGCTGGGTCTCCAAGTCCCAGGACTGGCTGATAGCCTCTCCCAGTGGATAGCAGGTCCTAATTCTCTTCTTCGAGCAGATTCTCTGATTTCAGCTGGGCCTTCCTGATGCTCTCCAAGTTCAGTTGTTGATATTTTCTTTTAAAAAAGCCACACTGAAACAAAGGAAGGAAAAGTCCAGTTACAGGCCAAAGATAGCCATCTGTTTCAGAAAACCGGCATTCTGGCTGTTGCCTAAATAGCCCCTATATTCCTCTGCTTCTCATACTTACTACTCCCTTCTCCTAACTTACTCTGAATCTCTCCTGGAGAGTCCAATCCTTCAAGACCTCTGGTGCTCATCCCTCAATCAGAACTGACTCCACCTTCCTCTGAACCCTGCTCTCCCGAGCAGCTGAACCTTTTTAACTTATTTTGCAAAGCATGATAATTTCGGCTGTACTGGATCTAATCTTATTTATGCAAAAATACTCAGTATAGCCTATGATGCTGAAGACAGAAGGAGATCAAGTACAGCTTCCTACATCAAGCTCATCATCTAGTAGGAAAAAGAGATAATTACAACACAGTGTGATGACTGCCATTTGGAAGGGTTTCTAGAAGGGAGCTCACAGCAAACACACAGAAGCCAGCACAGAGGACTCAGGAGTCTCTAGACCGCTTTCAGGGAAGACAGTGAGTGAAGTGAGCAGTCATGGAGGGCATTCCTGACAAGAAAAGCAGCCTACGCGTACGCAGAGGCACGAACCTATTTAGGGAATAGTTTGACTTGTTGGGAGAAAAAAGCAAGGTCAGGTGCTTATGCCTGTAACCCCACCACTTCGGGAGGCCAAGATGAGAAGATGGCTCGAGCCCCGGAGTTTGAGACCAGCCTGGGCAATATAGGGAGACCTCATCTCCACAAAATTAAAATTAAAAAATTAGCTGGGTGTGGTGGCATGCACCTGAGTAACAGTCCCAGTTACTCAGGAGACTAAGATGGGAGGATCACCTGAGCCTAGGAGTACGAGGCTGCAGTGAGCCCTTAACTGTGCCACTGAGCTCCAGCTTGGGGGACAAAGACCCTGGTGTTTATTTTTAAAAAAGAGGCTGGGAGTGGTGGTTCATGACTGTAATCCCAGAACTTTGGGAGGCCGAGGCGGGAGGATCACAAGGTCAGGAGTTTGAGACCAGCCTGGCCAATATGGTGAAACCCCGTCTCTACTAAAAATACAAAACAATTAGCCAGGCATGGTGGCACATTCCTGTAATCCCAGCTACTCAGGAGGCTGAGGCAGGAGAATCTCTTGAACCCGGGGTCAGGGTGGGGGGAAGGGAAGGTTGCAGTGAGCCGAGATCGCACCACCGCACTCAAGCCTGGGCGAAAGAGCGGAACTCCGTCTCAAAAAAAAAAAAGAAAAAAAAGCAACACTTAAGGGCAGAGACGGGTAGCGGACAGAGAGGAGAGGATCTTAAATAGCAGTAGAAGAGTTTGCACATTAAGACAGGGGAAGGCAAGGAAAAGATTTCAACAGGGGAACAACAGTCACATCTGTTTTAAGGCCTTACCGTTAAGGCCTCTTCCAAGTAAGTTATAAATGCTGGCCTAGGGTTGACCTTCCAGGCCCTATTGAACTCACAGGTAACCGAACATAACAGTATTAAGTTCTGGGCCTTGAGAATAGGGAGGTACCAAAGAAATATATATAAAATCACTCTTTATAACTCAGAGTTTTCTCTTTTCAGACAGATACTGTTTTACTCATTTGTCTAAATGGGGGTGTGCAGTTGAAGGAGGAGAAAAAAGTGGCCACGAGGCCAGGGCAGCTGCTCTAAGTCAGAGGTTGGCTGTCCTAAGGAGTTCTGTGCCCAAAACTAGAGCCCAGTCTTCCCTCACTGTGATGCCATGAGTAGAACTGACCTTGAACAGGATGACCAGAATCACGATCAACACCAGAAGTCCACCAACGCTGCCTTTAATGATGATAGGCAAAGAATGGTACTTCTCATCTTTCAGGAAGACGACAGTGATCTAGACAAGACAAAGAGATCGCCCAATAAATCAGGTGAAGCAAACAAGGAAAAAATCCTACATGTTATTTTAAGGAGCAAAATACGAGGACTTGGCAACAACCCGTGTATTGATCAAAGCTGATGACAGTAAAGCAAAAAGCTAGATATTCCCTGATGCAGCATTTTAGATCATCTAAAACTATCCAATCACCCAAATACTTCGTAAGAAACTATTCTGGCCCCTTATCTAGAAGGGCTAGGTCTGTCAGGAGATTATGACCTTCTGTTAAAGATGCTCTGACAGCTTGAAAGAGGGTCCCACGGAATCCGGTCTCAACACAGGACTGTGAGGCTGTCACGCCGCTACACTGCTCTATGTCCCTGAGCCCCGTGCCTATGCTCTTTAAAATGATGACTTCCTTTAAATGATCTCCAAGTCCTTTCCAACTCCGTTCTGACGGCTCTTTTTGATCTTGCACAGATCCCTAAAGGCTTTGGTAATACACTTTCCCCACATAAAATATGACAAAAGTACTGGTCTTCCCCTCACCAGACTAAAAAGTGTGTATTACCTAAGGGACATAATAAATGCAAATTATATCCATGTGTACTACTTGCAGAGCTCAGCTATTAGAAGTCATCCGCAGGTTTTGTTTTCCAAAGGCTCTCCCAATTTCGGGAGTCTAATCTCTCTTCTGGCAGGGCTCAGCTAGAAAGTTCAGGAGATGTCCTTCCTGAGACCCAGGTATGGCCCTTCCAAGTTGTGGCCAGAGGAAGTTCCCAGGACTTAGGTGGGGCCAGAGAGCCAACAAGACTTCTCTGCCTGCCCAGAGCAACCCTTCACGTGTATGTTTAAGCACCAAGGTCAGGGGTGCTTTGGAGAGGTTTCTGTACGGGGTGAAGGGCTGGACAAACTTACCTTTAAGGCCTCTTCCAATTAAGTTATAAATGCTGGTTGACCTAAAGTTGACCTTCCAGTCCTATTTAGCTCATAGGTAGCTGAACTAAATAGGAGTGAAGTCCTAGGCTTTGAGAATAGGGAGGTACCATAGCAACAAAGAGGGAGGAAGAACAGAAAGAGGGCTGGAATATTCTACAGGAGAAGGAGGGGGACTCAAGACCCTGGGTTTGGGAAGTGAAAGGAAGTCCCAAGGTGACTCGGGAAACAGGCCAGATGTGAGTAGAAGAAATGTCCCTATTTCTCAAAGCCACCTCCCTTTATCTTCTTCTAAACCCACAGATTCCCAAAAGTGCCCCAAAGATGCCCAAGTAGAGGTTAAGGGAGAAGCAAGGCACCGGGTACTACTGTTTGCAGCAAACACGGATGCTGGCCTGCCCAGGGGCCCCTCTCTCCTTTTGGATTTTATTCAGGAATCATCGTTGGTCTCAGGTGATCATGACACAGCTATTCTCCTTTGCCAGTGACTGACATGAGATTCAGATCTCACTAATAAGATGTAAGAGGATGTCTCCTGGGAGCTTTTGGAAACTGTTTCATCCCTGAAAAGGGAAGGCACATGAAGAAAAATCCAACATCCTTTTGCTACTGACTTCTTGCTTCCTGTTTTGTATCCTGCCATGTGAAAATACAGCATTTGGAGATGTGGCAACTTTGTGCTGGCCATGAAGGAATGCGTCCCCCACACGGCAGAGTACAAGGACCAAAGAAGCCAGGCCATCGCCCCAGGCCGGCCTCCCTCACTGGATAAACAGCATATGCCCTTATGCTGCATGAGCTGGATTTTCCCTTTCTTGTGGCTGAAATGCATTTGGATACAGTTTGTTTATACTCATAGAGTCACTGTAAGTCAGGGGCTTATTGTCAGGAACTACTTAACACTTTGCTTAGGATATTGGATTTAAAGAAAGGAATTTTGGGGAATCCATGCTATAGAAATAAAAGTATCAGTAAGTAAGAGGGGGAAACATACAAATTTAAAATGTGCACATAAGAAACTTAATAGTAACTCCTCCCTGCTGGGGGCATGGGAAGGGAGAAATGAAGGAACAATTATTTTTCATTTGGTACCATTCTCTGTATGGCTTGGATTTTCTTGCTATTATTTTTATTTGTTAAAATCTGGGCAGTGCAATAATGGGGCACTTCTATTTCTTCCGTTTTCTGTATTTTCCATTTCCCTCTATTTTCTGTATTAGAAATACACTACTTAGCCGGACATGGTGGCTCATGCCTGTAATCCCAGCACTTTGGGAGGTCAAGGCGGGCAGATCACCTGAGGTCAGAAGTTCGAGACCAGCCTGGCCAACATGGTGAAATCCTGTCTCTATTTAAAAAAAATAAATAAATTAGCCAGGCATGGTGGTGGGCACCTGTAATCCCAGCTACTCGGGAGGCTGAGGAAGAAGAATCACTTGAACTGGGGAGGTGGAGGTTGCAGTGAGCCGAGATGGCACCAACGGACTCCAGCCTGGGCGACACAGTGAGATTCTTCCTCAAAAAAAAAAAAAAAAAAAAAGAAAAGAAAAGAAAAAGAAATACACTACTTAAAAATAAAAGGAAATGTTATATTGGCATGTCTAGAGAATTGCTCCTTTCTCCTCCTCCAGGGAGGAAAACAGAGGACCTTATATTTAGCAATCCAGCATCACTCTCCTGACATTCCCTCTAGTAGAGAATCATGCCTAACTAAAGAGCTCAGAGCTCACAGATAGATCACCTCTGAAGCCATGTCCAGGCAAGGGTCAACAAGAATGAAAACACAGGGTAACACACAAAGCATTCAGTCCACAAATCACAGGCATCAGTCTGACTTCTAGTCATACTTTTGCAAAAAGAATTCCAAGAGTTCCAGTATCTAGTCTAAATCTTATAAAAGATTTATGCATTCCTGAGTACTGTTTAATACTATAACTAAACACTGATACAGCACACTAAGACAGTTACTGGATACAAAAAACAATTTCTCACTTAGGTAATTCATTTTTTATTTATTTATTTATTTTTTGAGACTGAGTCTCACTCTATCACTGAGGCTGGAGTGGAGTGGTGTGATCTCGGCTCACTGCAACCTCTGCCTCCCAGATTCAAGCGATTCTCGTGCCTCAGCCTCCCAAGTAGGTGGGATTACAGGCACCCACCATCATGTCCGGCTAATTTTTGTATTTTTGGTAGACAGGGTTTCTCCATGTTGGCCAGGCTTGTGTTGAACTTCTGACCTCAGGTGATCCACCTGTCTCGGCCTCCCAAAGTGCTAGGATTACAGGCGTGAGCCACCTGCGCCCAGCTGCGAAATTTTTTTTTTTAATCAATCCATTTTCAAATCAAAGTATATACTGCAGATTCCAGCCTAGTTATTTCAACTCAGAACTCCTCAGCTTAGGCCTCTTAATTGCCTTATTTCATAAGAAGCTGACTCACTCAAAGGTCACAAAGGCAGCGATGGCAGAGCCAAGATCAGAAGTGTTAAGGCTGAAAACAGGAAGAGGGCAACAGAATGTCTGTGGAGGTGCTCAAAGGTTAGGCACAATTTTCCTTGGGCACTACTCAGAAGCCAGCCAGGAATTACCTTAGTTCTGTGGTTCTCTGCATTCAGTCCCTCATATAGAGATTTGTTGAAAGATATTTCACCAAGGATCTGCAGTTCAGTTACATCTTTTAGTAACTAGAAGATGGGGAAAGGAATGAGGGAAACAAAACATATTTTAGACATGAACTCACTGTGTTTGAACAGCCTTCACCACCTTTCCCTTTAAAGGTATTCCTGGGCTTAGTTAATGGCCCTAACGTACACAACACTACATAAAGTTACCCAAACAAGACATCTGCAGTTATTCTTCAACTTCCTTTTTTTTTTTTTTTGAGATGGAGTTTCGCTCTTTCGCCCAGGCTGGAGTGAAGTGGTGCGATCTCGGCTCACTGCAACCTCCACCCCGTCAGGTTCAAGCGATTCTCCTGCCTTAGCCTCCCGAGTAGCTGGAATTATGGGCATGTGCCACCATGCCAGGCTAATTTTTGTATTTTTAGTAGAGATGGGGTTTTGCCATGTTGGCCAGGCTTGTCTCGAACTCCTGACCTCAGATGATCTACCCACCTCGGCCTCCCAAAGTGCTGGGATTACAGGCGTGAGCTGCCGCGCCTGGCCTTTTCTTCAACTTCTTTTCCCTTGTGCCATCCAAAGTCAGTTCTTGACTGACTGACTTATTTTTGAGACAGGATCTCGCTCTGTCACCCATGCTGGAGTGCAATGGCATGATCATGGGTCACTATAGCCTCAACCTTCCAGGCTCAAGTGATCCTCCCACCTCAGTCTCCTGAGTAGCTGAGACCACAGGTGCACCCCACCACACTGGGCTAATTTTTGTATTTTTTGTAGAGATGGGGTTTTACCATGTTGCCCAGGCTGGTCTCAAACTCCTGGGCTCAAGCAATCCACCCACCTTAGCCTCCCACAGTGCTGAGATTACAGGCATGAGCCACCACACCCAGCTTATTCATTTTATTTAACGTAAGAGATTTTTCCTTTTTTTTTTTTTTTTTTTTTTTTTTTTTGAGACAAGGTCTCACTCTGTTACTCGGGCCGGAATGGAGTGGCTCAATCATAGCTCACTGAAGCTTCAAATTCCTGGGCTCAAACGATACTCCTGCCTCAGCCTCCCAAGTAGCTGGGACTACAGGCATGAGCCACCATGCGTGGCTAATTTATGTATTTATTTATTTTTAAGAAATGGGGTTTCACTATGCTGCCCAGGCTGATCTTGAACTCCTGGCCTCAAGCAATCCTCCCGCCTCAGCCTCCCAAAGTGTTGGGATGACAGATGTGAGCCACCACACTCACAATTCTTTTTTTTTAAATTATTTCTTGTATCTGTCCCTTTCTTTTCCACCCCCATTGCTACTTCTTCAGTTGAGACCTCACAAATGTCACCTGGATCACTGTAAAACATTAAACTTGATCACTTGATCACTAGTTCCCACTTTAGAATAAGTGATCAGGGAAGGCCTCTCTAAGAAAATAACACGTGTGGCCGGGTGTGGTGGCTCATGCCTGTAATCCCAGCACTTCGGGAGGCTGAGGTGGGTAGATCATCTGAGGTCAGGAGTTCAAGACCAGCCTGACCAACACGATGAAACCCCATCTCTACTAAAAATACAAAATTAGCCGGGCGTGGTGGCTCACGCCTGTAATCCCAGCACTTTGGGAGGCCAAGGAGGGCGGATCACCTGAGGTCAGGAGTTCAAGACCAGCCTCACCAACATGGAGAAACCCCATCTCTACTAAAAATACAAAATTAGCCGGGTATGGTGGCGCATACCTGTAATCCCAGCTACTTGGGAGGCTGAGGCAGGAGAATCGCTTGAACCCGGGAGGCGGAGGTTGCAGTGAGCCGAGATCGTGCCATTGCACAACAAGAGCGAAACTCCGTCTTGAAAGAAAGAAAAGAAAAGAAAAGAACACCTAGGTCGGGTGCGGTGGCTCACGCCTGTAATCCCAGCACTTTGGGAGGCTGAGGCGGGCGATCACCTGAGGTCAGGAGTTCGAGACCAGCCTGGCCAACATGGTGAAACCCCCTCTCTACTAAAAATACAAAAATTAGCTGGGCGTGGTCGCCGGCGCCTGTAATCCCAGCTACTCGGGAGGCTGAGGCAGGAGAATCACTTGAACCCGGGAGGCGGAGGTTGCAGTGAGTAGAGATCGTGCCACTGCACTCCAGCCCGGGTGACAGAGCAAGACTCCATCTAAAAAAAAAAAAAAAAAAAAGAAAAGAACACCTGAGCTAAATTTAAGAAGAAACCACCTACGTCAGGACCTAGAGGAAGAGCAGTGTCAAGCAAAGGAACAGCAAGTACAAAGTCTTGTGGCCAGAATAATGCTGTACTGGCGAGCTAGAAGAATAGGACAGAATAACCCGATTATAAAAGGGGCAGTGGGAGAGAAAGGCGAGTACTAGGAGATGAAGTTGAAGAATTAAGCAGAGACCAGATCAAGTACTGCCTTGCTCTGGCCATGAAAAAAGTATGGATTTTAGTCTAAGTGTGCTCAAGCATCAGTTTTGTTTGTTTGTTATTTTTAATAAGCAGGGGAATGGCACAATCTAATGTCTGCTCTTAGAAGACGGATAGCTGTTACGTGGGAATTATTTGTAAAGAATGTGGGAAAAGCAGAGGCAAGAAAGGCAGGCCGAAGGTTATTGCAACAGCCCTGGCAAGAAAGGGTAGCTTGAATTACAACGGCAGTGGAAATGGAGAGAAGTGAATGGGTTTAGGATATATTTTGGCCCTGAAATGGCAGGGCTTGCTGCTGGAATAGACGTGGGGATGTAGGAAAGAGGAGTCACAGGTAATCCCTCGAGTTCCTTGTACTGTAACTGGAGTATATCTCCCTCCTGAGGGTAGCTAAGGAACGGGTTGGGACAGAGGGTTGGTTTTTTGCACCAAAAGATCTATTTTGGACATGGACATGTTATGCAAAGATGCTATTATCTCTTCTAGGGGCGATGCCCGTGAGCAACTGGATAATCAAATCTGGAGCATTTCAGTCTCAAACACCTCCTCAGAGTGATCCCAGGAGATCTCTGCAGCCACGGTGACATTTTCTTTATCTGAAGCGATGACACAGCTCACTGAATGCCATTCTTCCACATGCTGGAAAAGCGAGGTCTAGTGAACACAATTCCTTTCCGTGCGGAAAGTCTGAAATCTTTTTAACACTTCGGACACAGAGCATCGTAAGGTCCCAGAATAGAGGGTGTGAGCAATTTCAGCGCTCACCTCGGCCCAAGCGAAGCTCCAGCGGGAGCAATTGAGACCCAGGGACGAAGCTAGGGAGGGCCTGGCAGCCCCCGGCACTGGCCGGCAGGGGTAACCCAGGAAAAACAGTCTCCTGGCCTCTCGTTACCCGCTTCAGGCCCTCCGCCCTCCCCTGGCCTCTCGGGACGGCCGCGCTTACCTGAACCGAACTGTACGCACAAGCGCGCTCCTGACTCCAGGTGCACACCGTGGAGGCCTGAAACGAGAGCCATGACCGCGACGCGCTGAACAAACCAAGCCGCCAGTTTTCCGTCCCGTCCCGGCCCCGGCCCTGGCGAGGTGCGCATGCGCAGGGCCGGGAGCTAGGACCCCGCGGCAGGCGGGCGCGTCCGCGTCGCACGGAAGTCTCGCGATGTTTGCGTTTGAACCTCTTGGCGGGTGCCGGCCATGGCGGCTTCGCTCCCGGGACCTGGGAGCCGGCTTTTCCGCACATATGGGGCTGCGGACGGCAGGAGACAGCGGCGGCCGGGCCGGGAAGCCGCGCAGTGGTTCCCGCCGCAGGACCGGAGGCGTTTCTTCAACAGCAGCGGCAGCAGCGACGCCAGCATCGGCGACCCCTCGCAGTCCGACGATCCTGACGATCCCGACGACCCCGACTTCCCCGGCAGCCCGGTGAGGCGGCGGCGGAGGCGTCCCGGCGGCCGAGTGCCCAAGGACCGGCCCAGCCTGACCGTGACCCCAAAGCGCTGGAAGCTGCGAGCTCGCCCAAGCCTAACCGTGACCCCAAGACGCCTGGGGCTGCGAGCTCGGCCCCCGCAGAAGTGCAGCACACCCTGCGGCCCGCTCCGACTTCCGCCCTTCCCCAGCCGCGACTCCGGCCGCCTCAGCCCGGACCTCAGCGTGTGCGGCCAGCCCAGGGACGGCGACGAGCTGGGCATCAGTGCCTCCCTGTTCAGCTCTCTGGCCTCGCCCTGCCCCGGGTCCCCAACGCCAAGGGACAGTGTCATCTCGATCGGCACCTCCGCCTGTCTGGTTGCAGCCTCAGCCGTCCCGAGCGGCCTCCACCTCCCAGAAGTCTCCCTGGACCGAGCATCTCTCCCCTGCTCCCAGGAGGAAGCGACAGGAGGAGCCAAGGACACCAGGATGGTCCACCAAACCCGCGCCAGCCTCAGGTCAGTTCTCTTTGGCCTTATGAACTCAGGAACCCCTGAGGATTCTGAGTTTCGGGCAGATGGGAAGAATATGAGAGAGTCCTGCTGTAAAAGGAAACTGGTGGTGGGAAATGGACCAGAGGGTCCAGGTCTGTCAAGCACAGGCAAGAGGAGGGCCACAGGCCAGGACTCTTGTCAAGAGAGAGGGCTTCAAGAGGCCGTCCGGAGAGAGCATCAGGAGGCCAGTGTTCCCAAGGGCCGCATTGTGCCAAGGGGAATAGACAGGCTGGAGAGAACTAGATCAAGCCGGAAGAGCAAACATCAGGAGGCAACGGAAACCTCTCTCCTCCATTCCCACCGCTTTAAAAAGGGCCAAAAGCTGGGAAAAGATTCGTTCCCCACCCAGGACCTGACTCCTTTACAGAATGTCTGCTTTTGGACCAAAACCAGGGCTTCCTTCAGTTTCCACAAGAAGAAAATTGTGACTGATGTGTCAGAGGTCTGCAGCATCTATACCACTGCCACTTCTCTCTCTGGATCCCTCCTATCAGAATGTTCAAACCGGCCTGTCATGAACAGAACAAGTGGTGCTCCGTCCTCTTGGCACTCCTCCTCTATGTATTTGCTAAGCCCCTTAAACACTCTAAGTATTTCAAACAAAAAGGCATCTGATGCTGAAAAGGTTTATGGGGAATGCAGTCAGAAGGGTCCTGTCCCCTTTAGCCATTGCCTTCCCACAGAAAAACTGCAACGCTGTGAGAAGATTGGGGAAGGGGTGTTTGGCGAAGTGTTTCAAACAATTGCTGATCACACACCCGTAGCCATAAAAATCATTGCTATTGAAGGACCAGATTTAGTCAATGGATCCCATCAGAAAACCTTTGAGGAAATCCTGCCAGAGATCATCATCTCCAAAGAGTTGAGCCTCTTATCCGGTGAAGTGTGCAACCGCACAGAAGGCTTTATCGGGCTGAACTCAGTGCACTGTGTCCAGGGATCTTACCCTCCCTTGCTCCTCAAAGCCTGGGATCACTATAATTCAACCAAAGGCTCTGCAAATGACCGGCCTGATTTTTTTAAAGACGACCAGCTCTTCATTGTGCTGGAATTTGAGTTTGGAGGGATTGACTTAGAGCAAATGCGAACCAAGTTGTCTTCCTTGGCTACTGCAAAGAGCATTCTACACCAGCTCACAGCCTCCCTCGCAGTGGCAGAGGCATCACTGCGCTTTGAGCACCGAGACTTACACTGGGGGAACGTGCTCTTAAAGAAAACCAGCCTCAAAAAACTCCACTACACCCTCAATGGGAAGAGCAGCACTATCCCCAGCTGTGGGTTGCAAGTGAGCATCATTGACTACACCCTGTCGCGCTTGGAACGGGATGGGATTGTGGTTTTCTGTGACGTTTCCATGGATGAGGACCTGTTTACCGGTGACGGTGACTACCAGTTTGACATCTACAGGCTCATGAAGAAGGAGAATAACAACCGCTGGGGTGAATATCACCCTTATAGTAATGTGCTCTGGTTACATTACCTGACAGACAAGATGCTGAAACAAATGACCTTCAAGACTAAATGTAACACTCCTGCCATGAAGCAAATTAAGAGAAAAATCCAGGAGTTCCACAGGACAATGCTGAACTTCAGCTCTGCCACTGACTTGCTCTGCCAGCACAGTCTGTTTAAGTAAGCTAAATGTATCTTACTGCCCCGAAATGAGAGGAGACTGGTCTTGAAGCCTCTGGTGCTGTTTCAACCTCCATCCCCACAGGAGGGTGGAACTCCCATTCTCACAGGTTTCCAGTCAGCTTTTCAAACAAGAATTTTGTTTCCAAATGGAAACTGAAATATTTGTTGAAATGTTTAAATTTGCTGATAACAAATGTTCTGAAAGAAGTAAACTAGCCGGGCACAGTGGCGTGCGCCTGTAGTCCCAGCTACTCGGGAGGCTGAGGCAGGAGGATCGCTTGAGCCCAAGAGTTCATATCTAGCCTGGTCAACATAGCAAGACCCCTGTCTCTATTTTTTTAAATAAATAAACTACATGTGAAAACAAACGTTTATATTTATAAACCCTCTTTTTTTTTTTTTTAATTTTATTGAGACAGAGTCTTGCTCTGTCACCCAGGCTAGAGTGCAGTGGTGCGATCTCAGCTCACTGCAACCTCCGCCTCCCGGGTTCAAGCAATTCTCCTACCTCAGCCTCCCGAGTAGCTGGGATTGCAGGCATACACCACCATGCCCGGCTAATTGTTTGTATTTTTTTAGTAGAGATGGGGGTTTCACCATGTTGGCCAGGCTGGTCTCGAACTCCTCACCTTGTGATCCACCCACCTCGGCATCCCAAAGTGCTGGGTGATTACAGGAGTGAGCCATGGCACCTGACCTATAAGCCCTCTTTCTAATTGTCAGCAGAGTCCTTTCTGTAAATTCCTTTCCGTTTTTTGAGCCTTAACACTTATGTAGTCTGAGCAAAAAAAAAATGCCCAGGCTTCAGCTTCATACTGAGCAGAGCCTGTTGCTTCAGGTATCAAGGCTAGCTTTGGGAACCAGACTACAGATGAGACAACTGAAAGCAAAGAGGCTGAGGCAAAGCAGAGACCAAAAAAGAGTCTCAGGGGAGAAGAAGGGAAGCTAGTAAGCAACTTATAGGGGGCAGTGTAAGAAATGTCACATGTTACATCGCTCACACAGAGAAGCAGAATTTATCAATTTTCAAAGGGAAAATGTCTCTGTCTACTGACAAGGTTTTAATTTTTGCTTTTTTTTTTTTTTGAGATGGAGTCTCACTCTGTCTCCCAGGCTGGAGTGCAGTGGCAGGATCTCGGCTCACTGCAAGCTCCGCCTCCCGGGCTCACACCATTCTCCTGCCTCAGCCTCCCAAGTAGCTGGGACTACAGGCGCCCGCCACCACGCCCGGAGAATTTTTTGTATTTTTAGTAGAGACGGGGTTTCACCGTGTTAGCCAGGATGGTCTCGATCTGCTGACCTTGTGATCCACCCGCCTCGGCCTCCCAAAGTGCTGGGATTACAGGTGTGAGCCACCGCACCTGGCCAATTTTTGCTTATTTTTCCTCAAAGGGAGGAAAACTGACAGGTTGCTTTAAGAGCTGAGTGATTGAGAGTCCTTCTGAACAGGACTTCGGGAATTTACTCCTAATCTTTTCCCATGGTTAACTTGTCTTCACTCTGTTTCTAGAACTCTGGTTTTTATACTTGAGACTCTGTAGTCACTGTGGAAAGAGGTGTGACTGATAAAGAACTGCCTTTAAATACCTGAGTCCTCGTCAGCTTCTTCACTGCTACAACCTGGAGACCTCGTAATTTGGTTGGGACGCAAATTTGCAACTGGTATTCTGCTCCAAAGAGGTTCTCCCCATGTACCTGCAAATTAAAATCAGAGTAGGAAATCAAAGCTGGTATTGCTTTGCCATCTACAGCTTTACAATAATAAGTACTTACATGGAAGAGGAATTCTTTGTGGTGAGAAAGCCCCTGGCCTGTGTTCACGTACATTATGGATGGTCTGCAATTGACAGGACATGCGTCAGCCCTTGAGGAGTCTTTCTCCCTTTTTTGGAGACAGGGTCTCACTCTGTTGCCCAGGCTAGAGCACAGTGGAACAATCATGGCTCAGTGTAGCCTCAACCTCCCAGGCTCAAGTGATCCTCCACCTCAGCCTGGGAAAGTGTTGGGATGACAGGCATGAGCCACTACACTCATCCCTTTTTTTTTTTTTTTTTTTTTTTGAGGTGGAGTCTTGCTCTGTTGCCCAGGCTGGAGTGCAGTGGTGCGATCTCAGCTCACTGCAACCTCTGCCTCCTGGGTTTAAGTGATTCTCCTGCCTAAGCCCCCAAGTAGCTGAGATTACAGGCGCCTGCCACCACACCTGGCTAATTTTCATATTTTCAGTAGAGACGGGGTTTCGCCATGTTAGCCAGGCTGGTCTTGAACTCCTGACCTCAGGTGATCCACCCACCTCAGCCTCCCAAAGTGCTGGGATGACAGGCGTGAGCCACCGCACCTGGCCTTCTCTTTTTGAATGAACTCGACTGCTTTCAACTGAATACATTAGGACAGAGGGCACCAGACCTTTACCAGGAATGAGGCCGGGTGCAGTGGTTCATGCCTATCATCCCAGCACTTTGGGAGGCCGAGGCAGGCGGATCACCTGAGGCCAGGAGTTCAAGACCAGCCTGGCCAACATGGTGAAATCCCCGTCTCTATTAAAAATTTTTTAAAAATTAGCTGGGCCTGGTGGTGTCCACCTGTAGTCTCAACTACTCGGGAGGCTGAGGCAGGAGAATCGCTTGAACCTGGGCGGCAGAGGTTGCAGTGAGCCGAGATGGCACCACTGCACTCCAGCCTGGGCGACAGAGTGAGACTTCGTCTCAGTTTAAAAAAAAAAAAAAAAGGAATAAAAGCTGAATGTCAAAATATAAAGTGGTCGTAGCGCAGTTGGGGTGAGGTGGAATATTTGAATTCTGTATCGTTGGGCTGGTTCATTTTCTAATTATCCCTCAAATGGCCTTACTCATCCCCTCCTTACTTCCCAGTCCCACAGCTGCCTTCTTCCCTCCACAGCGTCATATTAATTCCCTTTTGTAGCACGACTAGTTGGCAATACACCTCCTTTGATGACCACAGTGGGGTTTCTGTGACCCAAATGTTAGCACCCTAGAGATCAATATCAGAGCCTGGGTTCTAAGCAGGCTCCTCTCAGAAGGACAGTGTCCACATTCATCCTGACCACCAGCTCCATCTACGAGAGAGAGCCCAAAGCTGCCCCCTGGGCGATGGAGTCACACCGCTGCTGGCCTCTTGGGAGTACTCACTTGGACAGAACTGCAACGAAGCCATGCCTGAATTGAAGGGTGTGGGTCTCGTTGGCCAAAGACCGTCTTTCATTGGAACTAGGAATAAGAGTGTTAGTTCATAGCACACCTGCTTTGTACATAGCAAGTGCTTCTTAAAAAGGGCTTCGCTCTGTTGCCCAGGCAGGAGTGCAGTGTTGCCGTCTCAGCTCACTGCAACCTCCGCCCCCCGGGTTCAAGCAATTCTCATGCCTCAGCCTCCTGAGTAGCTGGAATTACAGGCGTGAGCCACCATACCCAGTTAATTTTTGTATTTTTAGTAGAGATGGGGTTTCACCATGTTGGCCAGGCTGGTCTCGAACTCCTGACCTCAAGTGATCTGCCTGCCTTGGCCTCCCAAAGTGCTGGGATTACAGGCGTGAGCCACTGCGCCTGGCTATTTTTTTAAGTTCCAGGGTACATGTGCAGATGTGCAGGTTTGTTACATAGGTGAACGTGTGCCATGGTGCTTTGCTGCAGCTGTCAACCCAGCACCTAGTTACTAAGCCCAACACGCATTAGCTATTCTTCCTGAAGCTCTCCCCAACCCTGCCCCTCCCACAGGCCCCAGTGTGTGCTGTTCCCCTCCCTGTGTCCATGTGCTCTCACTGCAGAACAGGTGCTTCTGCACCTGGCTCCCCAGGGTCACTGGGAGTCAGATAAGAAAAGGCTCTCAGAGGCTGGGCGCGGTGGCTCATGCCTGTAATCCCAGTGCTTTGGGAGGCCAAGGCTGGTGGATCACGAGGTCAGGAGTTCAAGACCAGCTTGGCCAAGATGGTGAAACCCCATCTCTACTAAAACTACAAAAATTAGCTGGGCGTGGTGGCGGGCGCCTGTAATCCCAGCTACTCGGGAGGCTGAGGCAGAGAACTGCTTGAACCTGGAGGCAGAGGTTGCAGTGAGCCGAGATCACGCCACAGCACTCCAGCCTGGGCGACAGAGCGAGACTCTGTCTCAAAAAATAAATAAATAAATAAAAGGCTTTCAGAGATAAGCAATTGGAGTTCAGAATTGTCTCTAGAAGACCACACTTAGAAGAATACTGATTTTAAAAGGGCTTCTCAGCCTCCACACTATTGACGTTTTGGGCCAGTTAGTTCTTGGTTGTGGGGGCTGTCCTGTACTGCTCTGCGTGATGTTTGGCAGTATTCCTGGCCTCTACCCACCAGATGTCCTACTGAACACCCCCCTCCCCAAGTCATGGCAATCAAAACAGGCACAGCCTCTGGTGGGCAGAATCACCTCCCTTTGAGAACTCTTCCCAGCAGCGTTCCCCACCTTACCCCCCAACACAGAGGTCTTGCAGGTAACATAGCTATCCCAAGCTATTCCAAAGCTGAGTGAACGAGAACCAGAACTCCAGGGCTCATTCCACCAGGCTGTACCACAGTTTTACTTTGTGTGTGAACAAAAGAACATTTTCATTATCTCTGGTAACAAGAAGAGAAAGTCGAGTCCCTGCAGGGAAACAGATGCCTTCTGTGGGCTCACTGGGGTTTCCTTTCTCCCTGGGCTGTAAGGGGGCCGTTCCTCTCACAGCGTGCATGTGGCAGGGAGATGTCTTCCGGGGTCATAGCCTGACTCTGCTGTGACCCAGGCAGTACTTACTTGGTGACAGTCACAGTGATGTCTGCTGTCCTGTTTGGAAAGGCATTCTCCTCTAGCTGCCAAACGACTGAAACATGAGCCTATTTTAAAGGGGGAAAAATGGTCAGTTGATTCTCTCTATGCCACTCACAATTCAGACCGCTAGCTACTCGTGGAACAGACCTAGGAGACGATTCCTCAGATTTTCACATTCCTCACATTTTTCTAACACAGCATGTTTCCTTTCCCTTCCTTTTTTTTTTTTTTTTTTTTTTTTGAGAGGGAGTCTCGCTCTGTCACCCAGGATGGAGTGCAATGGTGTGATCTCAGCTCACTGCAACCTCTGCCTCCCAGGTTCAAGCAATTCTCCTGCCTCAGCCTCCCAAGTAGCTGGGATTACAGGCACGCACCACCACGCCCAGCTAATTTTTGTATTCTTAGTAGAGACGGGGTTTCACCATGTTGGCCAGGCTGGTCTCGAACTCCTGACCTCAAATGATCCACCCACCTCGGTCTCCCAAAGTGCTGGGATTACAGGCATGAGCCACCGCGCCTGGCCCCGTTATTTCAGTTAAGCCTCAAATACAAATATGGAGTAAGCAAGGCAGGCGGCCTCATTCCCCTTTTACAGGTGAAGAAGCCACTTCAGAGATTTCCCACAGCACAGAGATGACAAGGGACAGATCAGGGTTAATAACTTTTCGTCTTGGCCGGGCATGGTGGCTCATGCCTGTCATCCCAGCACTTTGGGAGGTCGAGGCAGGTGGATCACTTGAGGACAGGAGTTTGAGACCAGCCTGGCCAACATGGTGAAACCCCATCTCTACCAAAAATATTTTAAAAATTAGCCGGGTGTAGTGCTGCACGCCTGTAATCCCAGCTACTCAGGAGGCTGAGGAAGGAGAATCACTTGAACCCGGGAGGCGGAGGTTGCAGTGAGCTGAGACTGTGCCACTGCACTCCAGCCTGGGTGACAGAATGAAACTCCATCTCAAAAACAAACAAACAAAAAAACTTTTTGTCTGACACGCCCTCCATACTACCCACAACTTCACTCTGCTTCACGGAGGTGAGCAGGCAGTTCACCTAGGGCTGTGTACTGGAAAGCTCTCGTCCCCATCACCCCCTACTTTCAGAGCCAGCTTAGCCACTGTAAGCACTGCTGGGGACACACTGCAGTCAAGCGAAGCGCAAAGCTGGAACCGAGAGATTGAGATGAGACCAAGATGCAGAAGACGCCAACTGCAGGGTGGTGAGAAGAGCGAATCAGTCCAAACCGACTCACAGATGACCTCTTGAGGACGGGGTGACCAATCCTGCAGTTCATGATCAGGACAGAAGCAACCGGCTGAGGGTCATCACACTGAATGTTTGGAGAGGGAGGCTGTTAAAAGAGCAGATGACATTCTCTTAAAGAGCCAAACAAAACAAAACAAAAACGTGGTTTCCTCACAGCAATTCAGCAAACATTCACTAATTTTTCTGCCTGTCAGACACCCTGCCAGGAGCTAAAGAAATAAAGTCCACTTGGTCCCTGTCTTCCTCACAAGCCGGACAGGCAGGGTCAGCAGTAGATCCCCGAGGAATTTAAATACAAGGTCGAAGGGGTGCTTCTGTGAGGGAGCTGCAGAGAACAGCAGTGGAGAAATATGAATTCCAACTCGGAGGAATTCGTAAGGTCTTCCTGGGGAAGGAGGCATTTGAGCTGGGCCATGGACTGATGCAAATATAACCCACAGCCTGGCTGGAAGGCCGGCACACACCAGCACTGCCACGTAGCCACCAGGGCTCCCCACCTGGACCCCCGAGGGGCAGGTGATGACTGCAGTGAGTTTTCTTAATTCTCCCAGGGACGGTCCATCCCTAGTTCCCCTCTAGATGCCTAGGAGATTGTTTTTTGCTTTTGTTTTCATTTTTTTGAGATGGAGTTTCACTCTTTCGCCCAAGCTGCAGTGAAGTGGCGCGATCTCGGCTCACTGCAACCTCCACCTCCCGGGTTCAAGCAATTCTCCTGCCTCAGTCTCCCAAGTAGCTGGGATTATAGGTGCCCACCACCACGCCCGGCTAATTTTTTGTATTTTTAATAGAAACAGGGTTTCACCATGTTAGCCAGGCTGGTCTCGAACTCCTGACCTCAAGTGATCCACCCACTTCAGCCTCCCAAAGTGATGGGATTACAGCCGTGAGCCACGGTGCCCGGCCTAGGAGATTGCTTCATTCATATAATGGATACTGTCCTAGCCCAAATAGCCTAAGATGACCGGGGACAAATCTACAGTCCAACAAATTCAAATTTATTGACTCACTGCAATGAGGAAAACTACACTTTGGTTTTGTTTGTTTGTTTGTTTGTTTTTGAGACAGAGTCCTGCTCTGTTGCCCAGGCTGGAGTGCAGTGGCGCAATCTCAGCTCACTCCAATCTCCACCTCCGGGTTCAAGTGATTCTCGTGCCTCAGCCTCCCGAGTAGCTGGGATTACAGGTGTACATCACCACACCTGGCTAATTTTTGTATTTTTAGTAGAGACGGGGTTTTGCCATGTTGGCCAGGCTGGTCTCGAACTCCTGACCTCAGGTGATCCGCCCGCCTCGGCCTCCCAAAGTGCTGGGATTACAGGCATGGGCCACTGCACCCATCCAAAAACTACACTATTGTGTGTATCACTGAACAATGGAAAAGGCGGTTATTAAAGGACTCCAGGGAAGGGTGGAGTTCAGATGAAATGTAAATAAAGTCCTGTTTTGATGGTAAAGCAGGGCTGAGTGTCAAGGAGTCAGTCACCAGCAGGCCAGCCTGTGAATCAGACCCAGGGCCCGCTTCCTGGGAAACCATTAATATGGAGTAGAAAGTTGACAGACACTGTATCTGAAGCTCTCTACCTCAGGTGGAAACAGACTCTTCTCTTGGTCAAAATGACTTACACTCTCCAGGCAAGAGGGATAGGGGTTCATAATTACCGACGTAACTACTTCAAACAGCAAAGTTTTCTTTCTTGTTTTTTCTTTTGAGACAGACTCTTGCTCTGTGGCCCAGGCTGGAGTGCAGTGGCGCAATCTCGGCTCACTGCAAGCTCCGCCTCCCGGGTTCACGCCATTCTCCTGCCTCAGCCTCCCGAGTAGCTGGGACTACAGGCACCCGCCATCGCGCCCAGCTAATTTTTTTTTGTATTTTTAGTAGAGACGGGGTTTCACCGTGTTAGCCAGGATGGTCTCGATCTCCTGACCTCGTGATCCGCCCGTCTCGGCCTCCCAAAGTGCTGGGATTACAGGTGTGAGCCACCGTTCCCGGCCCAAAGTTTTCTGATCTGTGATTTTAGAGAATAAAATTTCTCAGTGCAGTGATACTTGTCAGCCACAGGGTGTCCTCGGGAAACAGACTGTTTCCTAGTATCTGTGTCTGTATCCAGCCTTGGGAATGGCAGGGCAGATTTTCACTTTCCCAGTCTAAGCTAATTTTTACTTTCTCAGTGTCTTAGGGCATTAGACTCACTTCTCTCTCAGAACCCTGGTGAAGAAAGGGCCGCACATAGGGAGGGTGGCACTGCAGCAGAATATGGTGCCTCGGGAGGCATGGAGCCGGACTGGCGGGGATTTATCTAGTTATTAACCATCTGTTGGTTGGACCAGGAGGAGGCTGGAGGCAGGGGTGCCAGTGAGGGGGCCACCACAGAAAAGCAGGCATGCAGCGAGGGAGGGGCGTGAGGGACCTGTTTCCACAGCCACCGTCACAGTCACCTTTTGCATCCTCTTCAACTGCAGGTTTCTGGGGTAATTCAAGGCCATGCTTGTCATGTAGGAATCTTCCCCGGAGTTAGTTAGGTTAATGTTCAGGGTCAGCTCCTTTGTGAGACCCACCACCAACTCCTGCCTGCACAGGGTACAGATAAAAATGTTACAGTTTATTTCATCTGTAAAAACCTCAACGCAATACAATAGGACATTCACCGAGGCTAGAGCGTGGTGCTGTGGTGCAATGATCACGGCTCACCGCAGCCTCCACTTCCTGGGTTCAAGTGATCCTCCCACCTCAGCCTCCCGAGTAGCTGGGACTACAGGTGTTTACCACCATGCCCAGCTAATATTTTTCTTATTTTTATTTTTTTGAGACGGAGTTTCGTTCTTGTTGCCCAGGCTGGAGTGCAATGGCACGATCTCGGCTCACTGCAACCTCCACCTCCCAGGTTCAAGCAATTCTCCCGTCTCAGCCTCCTGAGTAGCTGGGATTACAGGCACGCGCCACCATGCCTGGCTAATTTTGTATTTTTATTAGGGACGGGGTTTCTCCACGTTGGTCAGGCTGGTCTCGAACTCCTGACCTCAGGTGATCCGCCTGCCTCGGCCTCCCAAAGTGCTGGGATTACAGGCGTGAGCCACCCAGCCTGGCCAATGTGCAGCTAATTTTTGTATTTTTTGTAGAGACAGGGTCTCGCCATGTGGAGGCGGGTCTTGAACTCCTGGGCTCAAGTGATCCACCTGCCTTGGCCTCCCACAGTGCTGGGATTACAGGTGTAAGCCACCGCACACAGCCCAGAATAGCACCTTCTTAAGTAACTTCTTAGATAAGTTGCCTAAGGAATACGTTTAGCTTAGACATTCTTCCTCTCAACATAAGCAAACAGCTGGACTGCCACGCCCATCTCAGTTGTTGCATGAGATGACGATAATAGCTGCCCTTTATTTAGTGCTTACCATGTGCCAAGGACTGCGTCTCACACGCTCAACCCTCATAGTAACCCTGTGAAATAGTACAGCTACTCTCCATTTTATAGAAGAGGAAACAGAAGCCAAGACAGGCTAATTACCTGTCATCCCAACACTTTGGGAGGCCGAGGCGGGTAGATCACCTGAGGTCAGGAGTTCAAGACCAGCCTGGCCAAGATGGTGAAACCCCGTCTCTACTAAAAATACAAAAAGTAGCCGGGTGTGGTGGCAGGTGCCTGTAATCCCAGCTACTCGGGAGGCTGAGACAGAGAATTGCTTGAACCCGGTAGGGGGAGTTTGCAGAGGGCTGAGATCACGCCACTATACTCCAGCCTGGGTGACAGCATGAGACTCCATCTCAAAAAAAGAAAAAAAAAATTAGCCAGGTGTGGTGCAGGCACTTGTAATCCCAGCTATTCAGGAGGCTGAGGCAGGAGAATTGCTTGAGCCCGGGAGGCAGAGGTTGCAGTGAGCCATGAGCACACTATTGCACTCCAGCCTGGGCAACAAGAGTGAAACTCTGTCTCAAAATAAATAAATAAATAAATAAAAGGCTAATTAAATGCCTGGAGTCTAGTAGTCCAAAGAATTGAGAGAATTGTACCCAAATCCTCTTTCTACCACCAATTCACTGTGACCCTAGGTGAGGTACTCTATGACACAAATTCATCCATGCCACAATATTTATGGGGCACTGCTGTGCACTGGAGAACAGTGTGCATAAGACATACTGTCCTACCCCGTTTCTTGGCCTCAGCTTCCTACCCACAAAATCATTCAGACCCTTCCCATTAAAAGGCTGTGGTTTAAGACATGGGTCCACATGTCCTGGAAAAGAGGGTCCTGGGGATGTGTGAAAGGGTCCTCCAGAATGCTGAGGTATCACAGGGACCCAGAGTGCAGAACCACTCTCAGTAGCTGAGATTGACAGAAAAACATATTAGCAATACCGAGAAAACTGTTTTCCATCTGAAATGTCCAAAGATGAGATGTGCAGATCTAGGAAGTATGGCCTCCCAAAGTGCTGGGATTACAGGCGTGAGCCACCACGCCCGGCCTAGGAAGTAATGTGAGGTGTGTTTTGTTCCCATTGTTTGGTTTTGGTTTGGTTTTTATCCCAGCTGAGAAGAGGCTGGATTGACTGGAGGGAGAGACAGGAAGCAGAGACAGAGCCTGCTGTCTCCACCCGAGAGATGATACATGCCTGAAATAAGGAAACAGTAGTGGATGCCTGGACACGGTGGCTCACGCCTGTAATCCCAGCACTTTGGGAGGTGAGGCAGGTGGATCACTTGAGGCCAAGAGTTCAAGACCAGCCTGGCCAACATGGTAAAACCCCGTCTCTACTAAAAATACAAAAATTAGCTGAGTGTGGTCACGTGCGCCTGTGATCCCAGCTACACAGGAGGCTGAGGCAGGAGAAGCACTTGAAGCCGGGAGGCGGAGGTTGCAGTGAGCCAAGATCGCGCCACTGCACTCCTGCCTGGGTGACAGAGTGAGACCCTGTCTCAAAAGAAGAAGAAGAAGAAAAAAGACAACAGTAGTGGAGAAGGAAAGAAGTCAGAGACAGTAAAGCAAATGAAACGAAAAAGAGGCAGGGGAGGGGGGACAGAGGAGTTAAGGGCAAGTTCTGAGTTTCTAGCTCAGGTGGCTGAGTGGTGCCGGTGGCTGAGTGGTGCCGGTGGCTGAGTGGTGCCATTGACTGAGGGAGGTAACATGGGAGGAAGACCCAAGGGTGGAAGAAGATGCGTTCAATCGGGGACATGACAAGAGGTGCATATAGGATAACAAAGCAGAGATGCTGACATGTCAGCTGGACACACATCTTAGAGCTCAGGCGTGAGACCTCAGTGTCATCAGAATATTAACAGCGTTGCCTAATCTGAGGCCTAGGGACCGTCTCAGAGGGCCCGGAATGCCAAAATTTATGTATGCACATGTGATCTTCTAAGGAGAGGGGTCTGTAGTCTTCATTAGATTCTTTTGGGGATCTATGTCCTCAGGTCAAAAACCACTGAGACAGCTGGACACCGACGACCAGGCTCACTAGCGTTTTTGAAAGAGAAGCGTTTGCTTGCTATGTACACTAGGGGGCGATGTAGGGCAAGCCATGCGTGCTGTATCTCTACTACCCCCAGTAGCTGGCTGGGAGGTTGGTTCTTGGCTGTAATTAATTCCCTGCTGGAAACAGCTGTGCCTGCTTGTTAGCCTGGATTCCAGAGCATTTGAAAGTCTTCAATTGGTCCTGCAAATGTCTATGAAAGGGCTGACCAGGACTTGGGGAACTGCGTTCTTCCCCATATACGGCAACTCCAGCCAGCTGGCCAACAGAATCACAATACATACACAACACTAGTCGCCAAGGACGCTTGTTTGTTTTGTTTTGTTACCCTCCCCCCCTCCCCGTTTTTGGAGTCTTGCTCTGTCACCCAGGCTGGAGTGCAGTGGAGCGATCTCGGCTCACTGCACCCTCCGCCTCCCGAGTTTGAGCGATTCTCCTGCCTCAGCCTGCCCAGTAGCTGTGATTACAGGCGCCCACCACCATGCCCAGCTAATTTTTGTATTTTTAGTAGAGACGGGGTTTTACCATGTTGACCAGGCTTGTCTCAAACTCCTGACCTCATGATCCGCCTACCTCTGCCTCCCAAAGTGCTGGGATTACAGGCATGAGCCACCGCGCCCGGCCTGGGGGGCATTCTAAGACCACTACATGTCTAAACCCACACTCATGTGCTTGGCAACACTGTCATTCTGGAATTCAGTGTGGTCCAATAGAACGTCTGCAGCGATGGAGACAGGCGGTATCTGCGCTGCCCAACACCACCAGCCACAGGCGGCCACTGAGTCTTTGAAGTGTGGCTAATGTGACTGAGGAACAAAATGTTTCATTGTGATTAATTTTAACTCATGTACATGTAAACAGCTAAGCGTGGCTGGTGTGTTGGACAGTGCAGTGCCGCATGCTGGGGCTGTGGCCCTCTTTCCTCCCTCCGCCTCCATTCTGTCAGCACGTGCTACGTATGAGCTGTCACTTTAAACTGTTACTCCCGTCATGGCCCAGCCCACACCGCCTCTCACCTGAGTGGTTACAAAGGGAGCAAGTGCCGCTTCTCTTCTCAGCTAAGCAGCAAGAAGGATCCTGCTAAGCTGCATGAGTGTGTCACTCCTCTGACTTCCCAGCTCACAGCAAAAGCCCTTCTGAGGGCTTAAGAAGCCCCATGGCCTCTTCCCCCTTCCTCCCCTTCCCTCATTACACCCCGCCCCACTCCACTGCAGCCACTAGCTCCTCACCCTGCCCCCCACCCACCAGGCAGGCTTCCAACCCAGGGTACCTGCAGCTGCTCTTCCCTTAGACACCCAACCACATAGCTCGTTCCCCTACCTCCTCCAGTGTGTGCCAAAGTGTCACCCTCCGTGACCACCCCATTGAAAACTTCAGCATCAGCTGCCACCCAACACTCCTTCCCACCTTCCCTGTGTCTTCAACGTTCATCTCATCAACATGGAATTTACCTACTTACCATCTTCTCCCCCTAAGAGCACCAGGAGGGCAGGGATTTTTGTCTGTGTTGTTCACAGAAGTATCCCCAGCACCTAGAGTGCTTGGCACAAAGTAGATGGTCCAGAAATATTTGATTGATTAGTTAATTTGGCCAAGAGGTGGGCCGGGAAAGAGGTTACCTCTAACTGAGGTAGAGGTCAGCCTGGCTGTGAAGAACGCTGGGTTCTGAATATAGCATTGTCCGGGATGTCAAGAGACCCAGGTTCAAGTCCACCAAATGGCCTATGCAGGGCCCTCGGCGACTGAGTCTGCTTCCTAATCTAGAAAGTGGGAAGACAGATCTCTGTCTTGCCTCCCTTCTGGGGTAGCTGAGGACATATTGAGATAATAAGTGCAGAAGCCATTTGTGGGCCACGGGGAGAGGGGAAGGGGATGTGCAGGGTGTCCTAATGAAGGAATTGCCCAGGCAAGCGTTCGGGAGAAGGTTAATCGAGGAAACTGACGGCTATGTCCAACTCACTGAGAGACGGTGGTGGCCAACTGTAATTCTGCGACACAAAACAGCTTATTCTTGCAGGCCTTCTCATAGGGCAGCTGTAACCAGACAGAGAGTCCCGATCAGCCCAGGCTCCGCCTTCCCCAGCAGCCCTGCCTCCGGCTCTTCTCCTTATAGGAAGTTTTGGGCTGTGCCTCCTGCTCACCCTGAGAAGTGCAGTTACAGGGAGGTGAGGGGTGCAGGCTGGGATTGTCCCCGAAGAGCAGGGACTGTGACATTCCTGGGTGACATTCCTGGATCTGTCCTATAACATGGGCACACTGTGACCCAGTCCTTTGACCAAGGTAAAAACTGGGGTGACCTTCACGGAATGTTAGGGGTGCCCATGACATTTACATCATGCGAATTCAGCAGCAACACACAGCTCACGACTTTGAGCATTCAGGGAGCAGACACCTACGCGAAGAGAAGCTTCCTTAGTCCTTTCGGATATAGGCAGAACAGCCCGGGCAGGAGTGGGGGATGCCTAGCCAAATATCGTCAAGGTCCAGGCCTTGGAGGTTCCTTCCTCATGGCTAGTCATCTGTTTTTTCGGTTGTTTGTTTGTTTGTTTTCAGATGGAGTCTCGCTCTGTCATCCAGGCTGGAGTGCAATGGCGCGATCTCGGCTCACTGCCATCTCTGCCTCCCGGATTCAAGCGATTCTCCTGCCTCAGCCTCCCAAGTAGCTGGGATTACAGGCATGTGCCACCACGCCTGGCTAACTTTGTATTTTTATTAGAGAAAGGGTTTCGCCATGTTGACCAGGTTGGTCTCAAACTCCTGACCTCAGGTCATCCACCCACCTTGGCCTTCCAAAGTGTTGGGATTACAGGTGTGAGCCACCGCGCCCGGCCTGGCTAGTCGTCTCTGTAAGCTAACTATTTCCCTTGCCTACACATAATCGACTAATTCTGAAAGCCACATTTCAAAAGGCCCCATGGAGGTTGAAAAGCTCCAGTTCGTGTTTTTAAAAATTCCAGTGTTCTAAAGTAGCTGGGTCTGTTTTTGTATTATGAAGGAAGGCAGCCAGCTCCTCGGCTGGAGAGCCTCTGCACTTCGCACTTCTCTCCCGGTGGCCACCTCGGCAGCTGTCTGCAGGTCTGTTCCCACGGCCTAGAGGGGGAATGACAGCCCAGGGCTTGAAAGGGAACTTTCTACTTCCTGCGGAAGGGGGATGCCATTTGCAGAAGTCAAAGCGTGGCGCTCTCTCTAAGTGGGTCAACAGTTTCATGCAGGGTTTTTTGTTGTATTTTTTTTTTTTTTTTTTTTTTTTTGAGACGGAGTCTCGCTCTGTCGCCCAGGCTGGAGTGCAGTGGCGCAATCTCCGCTCACTGCAAGCTCCGCCTCCCGGGTTCACGCCATTCTCCTGCCTCAGACTCCCGAGTAGCTGGGACTACAGCTGCCCGCCACCACGCCCAGCTAATTTTTTTTTTTTTTTTGTATTTTTAGTAGAGACGGGGTTTCACTGTGTTAGCCAGGATGGTCTCGATCTCCTGACCTCATGATCCGCCAGCCTCGGCCTCCCAAAGTGCTGGGATTACAGGCGTGAGCCCCCGCGCCCGGCCTTTTGTTGTATTTTTAATATAGCCACATAGCCTGATCTCTTCCACCCAGCCCCAGTGAAAGAGAATGGGGTTAAGCCATCTAAACTCCCAGCCAGAACGCACTCTCTGGTAACACCGATGTGCCTAATACCACGTGGTTTTTTCCTCACCCATTTTATACGGGGAATAACTTTTTAAAAATCTCTTTGCCATAGCATAATAGTCATCACTGGTTAAGGAAAGACACATAAAGAGATGTTAAGCAGGATACAATCGCAAGGCATCTCACCATAAAATGAGACGTGCTTATTAATGACACAGGCAAACAGCACTAGGAATGGACAAGTCCACATTAGGTGCCTCCTGAGATGGTGTACTGAGAAGGACACACTTTACTTCTGTGATATTCCTGACAAAAATGCATAACCTGGCCAGGCATGGTGGCTCACGTCTGTAATCCCAGCACTTTGGGAGGCCGAGGAGGGTAGATCACCTGAGGTCAGGTGTTCAAGACCAGCCTGGCCAACATAGTGAAACCCCGTCTCTACTAAAAGTACAAAAATTAGCCGAGCATGGTGATACATGCCTGTAATCCCAGCTACTCGGGAGGCTGAGGCAGGAGAATTGCTTGAACTTGGGAGGCAGAGGTTGCAGTGAGCCGAGATCACGCCATTGCACTCCAGCCTGGGCAACAAGGGCGAAACTCTGTCTCAAAAACAAAACAAAAATGTATAACCTGAATCTAATTATGAAGAAATATCAGACAAATTGAGGAACATTCTACAAAAGGACTGGCCTGTACCCTTCAAAAATGTTAATGTCATTAAAAGACAAGGGAAGACTGAGTGAGAAACCCTTCCAGATTAAAGGAGACTAAAGATAAATAACTGTAGAACGCTATGAATGATCCTGGACCAGAACCTTTTTTTTCTTTTGCTATAAAGGACATTAATAGGACAACTGGCAAAATTTGAATAAAGTTTGTAAATTAGATAATAGTATTTTATCAATGTGAATTTCCTGATTTTGATTATTGTACTATGTTAAGACAATGCCTTTGTTTTTAGGAAATATATATTGAAGGTTTGTGGTTTTTTTTTTTTTTTTGAGACGGAGTCTTTCTCTGTCACTCAGGCTGGAGTGCAGTGGCACGATCTCGGTTCACTGCAACCACTGTCTCCCGGGGTCAAGCAATTCTCCTGCCTCAGCCTCCTGAGTAGCTGGAACTACAGGCATGCACCACCACACTGGGCTAATCTTTGTATTTTTTAAAATTTATTTTATTTTTTATTTTTTTGAGATGGAGTCTCGCTCTGTTGCCTAGGCTGGAGTGCAATGGCACGGCCTTGGCTCACTGGAACCTCTGCCTCCTGGGCAAAGGATTCAAATGATTCTCCTGCCTCAGCCTCCCTAGTAGCTGGGACTACAGGCCCATGCCACCACACCCGGCCAATTTTTGTATTTTTAGTAGAGACAGGGTTTCACCATCTTGGCCAGGCTGGTATCGAACTCCTGACCTCAGGTGATCCACCTGCCTCAACCTCCCAAAGTGTTGGGATTACAGGCATCAGCCAGGGCGCCCGGCTGACAAAAGTTTCTTATGACACTACCCGCCTGTCTAAGCTGCACTGATGGGCACCAGGAGGAGAGGCTAGGATACAGGTTTGGTGGGGCCATTCAGCCTGAAGGCCCTGGCAGGGCATGAACAGGCAGGTGTGCCAAAGGGCATCCTCTCTGCAGTGCAAGACACGACAGCTCCAGTCTAGCTCCCACAAGGAACCCCCATCACAGCGTCATCAGAGCCGCTTGCCAAGTGAGGTCCCCAGGATGCAATGTATGCATGTGCCTCATGAAAGATGTAGCAAGTGCTTTTGTGAACATAAAGACATAAAGGAACAAGCCCCAGGGGCAGATGGAGACCTGCGTTACCCATGAGTCCTCACTCACGGGGACACATTAACACCATCTCAGGGACTCAGTTTCACCATGAGTACGGTGAGGGGCCCAAATGCCGTCTGAAGACATTGCCTCCCAACTCCACCATTCTTGGAAGTTAGGGGAGCAGGTGGTTTCTGTGGGATAGGCTCTTAAGAGGGCTGGGTACTGGCTGTGGGTAGAGTCACCTGGAAGATGGCAAAGGGCTCAGTGTAGCGGTCCAGGATGGGCTGGGGATGGTCCGTCTGTCCCTCAGGGGTCTGGAGCTGGTAGCTGACTTTGACACTGGCATTGGAGAAGCAGTCCTCCTCACAGAGCTGTGGGGTCACCACGGAAGGCAGGGTTAGAGTTGGATGTGGGGGAGAAGATGACAACAATAATGCTTTTTTTCTTTTTCTTTTTTTCTTTTTTTTTTTTTTTGAGATGGAGTCTTGCTCTGTTGCCCAGGCTGGAGTGCAGTGGCGTGATCTCGGCTCACTGCAACCTCCGCCTCCCGGGTTCAAGCGATTCTCCTACCTCAGCCGCCCGAGTAGCTGGGATGACAGGTGTGTGCTACCACGCCTGGCTAATTTTTGTATTTTTAGTAGAGACAGGGTTTCGCCATGTTGGTCAGGCTGGTCTCGAACTCCTGACCTCAAGTGATCCACCCGCCTCAGCCTCCCAAAATGCTGGGATTATAGGCGTAAGCCACCGCGCCCGGCCTCTTTTCTTTTTTTTTTTTTTTAAGATAAGGTCTCACTCACTCTGTCACCCAGTCTGGAGGGCAGCAGCACCATGATGGCTCACTGCAGCCTCAACCACCTGGGCTCAAGCAATTCACCCACCTTGGCCTCCCAAAGTGCTGGGATTTCCAAATATGAGCCACCGCACCTTGCAAGAATACTTTCTACTTTGATGTCATCATAAGAAGAAATAAACAATAAAAGTGGTGAGTCAGAAGTCCTAAGCATCTTCCAAATAAGCCAGGCTGAAGGGACACGTCCTTCAAGCAAGCTGCCAAGTGCTTTGGGAAAAATCTCCTTCATTCTACTACGGTTTTGTGTCTATAGCTGCTATGGTTCTTATCCCAGTCACAAAGGGGTAAAGAACTGGCTCAGACAGAAGGGAAGAGTCACAGCCACACCTGGGTTTATCAAGTTCTTTCTCTTTTTTTTTTTTTTTTTTGAGATGGAGTCTCGCTCTGTCGCCCAGGCTGGAGTGCAGTGGCTCGATCTTGGCTCTCTGCAACCTCTGCCTCTTAGGTTCAAGGTTCTCCTGCCTCAGTCTCCCAAGTAGCTGGGACTACAGGTGCATGCCACCACGCCTGGCTAATTTTTGTATTTTTTTTTAGTAGAGACAGGGTTTTACCACATTGGTCAGGCCGGTCTCGAACTCCTGACTTCAGGTGATCCTCCCACCTCGGCCTCCCAAAGTGCTGGGATTAGAGGCGTGAGCCACTGCGCCCAACCAACCAAGATCTTTCTCAAAGCAACATGGAGGACATATTAGAGAGGTAAGAGAGAAGATAAGGAGATTGCTTAGCATACCATTTGCCACTCTCTTTGTTTAAATAAGCCTTTCTGCCCCTATAAGAGCCTCAAGCCCATGGGAGAAAGTGAGCATGATTCTCTGGTAGAGAATGTGATTAAGCCTTTATTTAAGGAAGGCTGTAGACTTTAATCCAATTAACAATCACTTTGGGGGTAAATGTGTATTCAGAAGAAGAATTCATGCATTTGTTTATTGGAATAAACGATCCATATAGATCCAAAGTTCGAGATCCTGTCAGGGTTTGAGTCCCGACATACTTTTTTTACCCCATGTCTCTGGGCACCTTTGCCAGGAGTAAACCTTTCTAGATGGTCGTTTCTATCTTTTTATTCTTCCTTTTAGTTGTTCACTTTTTTGATGCCAACTGACATTCAGGCCCTCGGTCCTAGTTATTATCAGGTGAGGTCTGATAACGCATGCCAAGAACACTGGCATTCCTGAGTTATTACCAAGAAAAACGTCAGCAATGACAGCATCTCCATCTTCCGTGCCATTACGTGGTTCTTGATTTATTATTATTATTATTTTGAGATGGAGTCTTGCTCTTGTTGGCCAGGCTGGAGTACAGTGGCATGATTTCGGCTCACTGCAACCTCCCTCCCCTGGATTCCAGCGATTCTCCTGCCTCAGCCTCCCGAGTAGCTGGGATTACAGGCACCCGCCATCACGCCCGGCTAATTTTTGTGTTTTTAGTGGAGACAGGGTTTCACCGTGTTGGCCCGGCTGGTCTCGAACTCCTGACCTCAAGTGATCCCCCCGCCTTGGCCTCCCAAAGTGCTGGGATGACAGGCGTGAGCCACCGTGCCTGGCCTGTTATGATTATTTTAATCACCTCATTTGTAGGTCTGGGTATGTGCCCTTCACTGCATCACCTCAAATCCTTTCTCAATGACAAAGACCCCTCCTGACTCCCATCCAAACTCCGTCACTTACCTCTCCCTCTGTGGGCATGAGCAGGAGGTCCTCACAAAGCTGGGATCCGCTGCTCCACTCCCTCAGGCAGCCCAGACAGCTTCTTACGTCTGAACACTGCAGCCGTCTCCTCTGCTTCCCCACATCCACATCCAGCGTGAAGTTGAGAAGTGCCTCGCGGAGGCCTGGGAATGAAGACCAGACCTTCCCGATGAGGTGGGGATGAGCCAGCCGCAGACAGAAGGCCCCCAGCCTGCCTGAGGTTCCTTGTGGCCCCTCCTGAACAGTGTCCCCATGCAGGTACTTCCCTGCGGCTGGACTCCTGCGTCGGTTTTTCAAAGATATTTTTCTCACCGTCTTCTGACACCTGACCAGGGTCTCTGAGTGCTCCCGCCCCAAACCCGGAGCAGCACATTCCCAGGACTGAGTCAGCCTTCTTTAGGGAAGGAGGGCTCGGGAAGGGGATCGAGATTGAAGAAGAAAATAAGGAGGAAGAGAGACAACAAAGAGAATGGAGAGGGAAAGAGGGACTCTGCGGAGAAAAACCCCAGGACGGCACAGCTGGAAGCACCGTGGAGATCCCGGGGCCGCCTCTCTTACTGTACAGAACAGAACCAGCTCAGCTAGGGAGAGACACTTGCCCAGCATCGCACAGCCCATCGAGCTCTGTGTCCTGGAAGGGACAGGTCTGTTATTTTCTTTTTTTTTTCTTTTTTCTTTTTTTTTTTCCTTTGAGACAGAGTCTCGCTGTCACCCAGGCTGGAGTGCAGCGGCGCGATCTTGGCTCACTGCAAGCTCCGCCTCCCGGGTTCACACCATTCTCCTGCCTCAGCCTCCCCCGTAGCTGGGACTACAGGCGCCCGCCACCACACCTGGCTAATTTTTTGTATTTTGTTTAGTGGAGACGGCGTTTCACCATGTTAGCCAGGATGGTCTCGATCTCCTGACCTTGTGATCCACCCGCCTCGGCCTCCCAAAGTGCTGGGACTACAGGCATCTGTCACCACACCTGGCTAATTTTTGTATTTTTAGTAGAGACGGGGTTTCACCGTGTTAGCCAGGATGGTCTCGATCTCCTGACCTCGTGATCTGCCCACCTCGGCCTCCCAAAGTGCTGGGATTACAGGCGTGAGCTACCACACCCGGCCAGGTCTGTCATTTTCAATCCCCAGGTGGATAATAGCCTGCTGCTTTGGGAAAGCCACCCCACCCCAGGAGACTGCTCTCTGACTGTGGGAGGCAGAGACCATCTCAGAGATTGCTCCTGAGAGATTAAACCTCGGGGACTGTTGCTGAGGAATCGTTCCAGGGGGGAGCTCTTGGATGAGCAGTAAATACCTGGGCTGTGAAAGCCATGCCCACCACCTCCTTTCTGGGAACAGTCTCCTAATGAGTTTCAGGTAAGGAAAGAGAAACCAGGCCTCCAACAGGTGATCCAATCCCACCTGGGCCGGAGGCACATAGTGAGGAGGGAAGGGGAGAAGACACAAGTCAGAGAGAAAGAGGAGGGTGTGTCTCAGAAGCCCCCGCACACACGCACACACGTGGGCATGGAGAAATGGCTGCCTTTTTCTGAGTCTTTTTTTTTTTTCTGAGACGGAGTCTCGCTCTGTCACCCAGCGTGGAGTGCAGTGGTGCGATCTCAGCTCACTGCAAGCTCCGTCTCCTGGGTTCATGCTATTCTCCTGCCTCAGCCTCCCGAGTAGCTGGGATTACAGGCACCTGCCCGGCTAATTTTTTGTATTTTTAGTAGAGACGGTGTTTCACCATGTTAGGCAGGATGGTCTCGATCTCCTGACCGCGTGATCTGCCCGCCTTGGCCTCCCAAAGTGCTGGGATTACAGGCGTGAGCCACCGCGCCCGGCCTTCTGAGTCTTTTTTTTCAGAAACTCAACCCTTCAACCCTGAGGAAGGGCCCCAGTGTCCCTCTTCCCAACAGTGTCAGCTCTAAACCCCTTCTGAGTGTGGACATAACCTCAGACCACCCTTTCTTGAGGCAGTTTGCATTTAACAAACCTGGAGACTAAGGAGCTAAGCTCTAATCGAGGGATTTCAAGCACCAGGACCTCAGACCAACACCCACCCACCCCCCGCCCCAGTCCTCTTTCCCTGCCCCTTACAGAAGCCAAAAAGGAAAGACCATCACACCAGGCAGGGGTCAGCTGGACCATTTTTTTACCTGACTCAGAGGCTGTGGTTACAGAGCTGATTTCAAAACATAAACGGACATTCACGACGCCGTTGAAGCCGATGGGCAGTGCGCTGGGGGTGAAGGCCATGGAGACCTTCAGGCGAACCACAGGCCGGGAGCTAAACAAGACAGCAAAGAGGATGGGAGAAGTGACTGCTCAGCCTCTGGGTCAGGGCCTGGCTGATTGGTTCATGCATTCAATGGTTCTCTATCAAACATGCCCACATCCAGGTGATCCCTGAGTCTCAGGGTACAGTGGGGAAAGAGACAAGTTTCTGCTTTGGTGGGAAAGCAGACAACAAGCAAATAAACGAGAGAAACAGGGAGATACTATGTATTGGCAAGGCTATGAGAAAAATTAAAATACTGTTGGCCGAGTGCGGTGGCTCACGCCTGTAATCCCAGCACTTGGGAGGCCGAGGCGGGAGGATCACCTGAGGTCAGGGGTTCGAGACCAGCCTGGCCAACTTGGTGAAACATCGTCTCTACTAAAAAACTCAAAAATTAGCTGGGTGTGGTGGCGGGCGCCTGTAATCCCACCTACTTGGGAGGCTGAGGCAGGAGAATTGCTTAAACCTGGGAGGCGGAGGTTGCAGTGAGCCGACATCCTGCCACGGCACTCCAGCCTGGGTGACAGAGCAAGACTCCATCTCAACAACAACAACAAAAATACGGTAATAAGGACCGAGGGCTACTGAGACTGGGTGGTCACAGATGGCGTGGCTGATGAGGAGGCATTTCGGTTGAGATTTGTTAACAAGAAAGAGCCAGCTGTGTGAGGATCTGGGGAAGAGCACTCCAGGAAGAAAGCACAGCCAGTGCCAAGGGCCTGTGGCAGGAACACTTTTGGTTTGTTTGAGGAGCACAAAGGTCAGCATGCCTGGAATCTAATTAGTGAGACAGAGGATGGGAGGAGGAGATGGGAATGGAGGGGCGGGAAGGGCCAGGCCACGAAGAGCCCTGTAAAGCCATGGTGAGGAATTGGGATTTTACTCTAAATAGGAGCCGTGGAGGAGTTTCAGGCAGCAGAGTGAAGGGATAGGGCTGCTGCTGTGTGGAGAATGGAGCGCAGGGGCTGGAAGCAGGAAAGGCTGTGGCAGCAGTGTCCAGGGAGTGAAGACAGTGCCTGCACTGGTCTGGAGGCAGAGCCAACTAAGACTTGTTGATGTGGTGGAGAGGAAGGAAAAGAGGCATCAAAGATGACGCCTACGTTTTCATCCTGAATTGCTGGGTGGATGATGATGCCATTTGCTGAGACAGAAAGCCTGAGGGCAGGATAGATTTGGGGGAATGAAGGGTGGGGGGAGATAAAAGCTCTGTTTTTCTTTTTTTTTTTTTGGAGACGGAGTCTCGCTCTGTCGCCCAGGCTGGAGTGCAGTGGCGCGATCTCCGCTCACTGCAAGCTCCGCCTCCCGGGTTCACCATTCTCCTGCCTCAGCCTCCCGAGTCGCTGGGACTATAGGCGCCCGCCACCATGCCCGGCTAATTTTTTGTATTTTTAGTAGAGATGAGGTTTCACCGTGTTAGCCAGGATGGTCTCCATCTCCTGACCTTGTGATCCACCCGCCTGGGCCTCCCAAAGTGCTGGGATTACAGGTGTGAGCCACTGCGCCCAGCAAAAGCTCTGTTTTTAGACGTGTTCACTTCGGGATGACTGTGAGCAGCAGCTCAGGGAGGTGCTGGGTAGACAGCAAGTCTGCAGCTTGGAGAGGACGGGACAGACGGGCGCTCCATGAGCTCATTTACAGCCACGGGACTTGATCATTCACTGAGGGATGGGGCACAAAAACTCTGCAATTCTTGGCCAGGCATAGTGGCTCATGCCTGTAATCCCAGCACTTTGGGAAGCCAAGATGGGTGGATCACGAGGTCAGGAGTTCAAGACCAGCCTGGCCAACATGGTGAAACCCTGTCTCTACTAAAAATACAAAAATTAGCCGGGCGTGGTGGCAGACACCTGTAATCCCAGCTCCTCAGGAGGCTGAGGCAGAAGAATTGCTTGAACCTGGGAGGCGGAGGTTGCAGTGAACCAAGATTACACCACTGCACTCCAGCCTGGGCAAAAGAGGAAGACTCCGCCTCAGAAAAAAAACAAAAAACAAAAAACTCTGCAATCACAGCCATCGCTGAGCACTGTGCTAAATACTTTGTATATATTCGCTTGCATGATCCTCATAGCTCTGGGAGGTAGGTGCTCTTATAATTCCTAGGTAAGGTCTTAGAGTTAAATAACCTGCCCAAAGGCTGAGAGGGCTGAGAGCTGAGGTTCAAACCCAGACGGGCAGACTCCAGAGCCTGTGCCCACAACCACGGTGCTGGCTCCCTCCCTCAGTGCCTAATGTCTGCATGGAGCTATTTAGAGCAGGGCAAATGGGTGAGGCTGGGCCTGGGACCCCAGAAAGCAGGACAGAACCCTACCGGAACACAACCGCCTGGCCCAGAGTGCCCACGGTGATGTCGGCAAGGCCGTCGCCACTAATATCAAAGCCACCAGCCATGGACATGCCGAAGTACTGGAGTCCTGGGGCCACCGTGGAGGCTCTGATCCGCTGTGGAGGCAGAAACACAAGGCGTGGGGCGAGGGAAGGGAGGGAAACGGGGCGGGGAGTCCTTTCATGATCTATCCCGATCAGCATCGCAGGCACCATCCAGCCCCAGGGAGCCCCGAGTCTAGAACCAGGAAAGAGGGAGCAAGCTTTCCCAGAGGAAGTGGCATTTGGATGGAGCCTCGAAGGGCAGGTGGGACTTGACAGGGGAGAGTAAGGGAAAGAGTGAGGCATGGGGAAAGAGCAGGGCCTTCTGAGAAGCAGCCAGGGCCAGGGACGGGGTGGACCACAGGGGATTGGGGTACAAGGAGGCTTGATGTGGGGCTTGGGGATGGGGGGTGTCAACAAAGGTTCTGTTGTTTTGAAGTGACATAATCAGGATAACACTTTAGAAATGGCACTGAAGACATGGGGTGGAAGATGGAGAGGAGGAGGAAGCTGGGTGGGCTGGGAGTGGGATGGCAAGGCCTGAGCTGGGACCGCAGGGGTGGGGATAGAGAGAAGGGGCTGGAGTTGGGAGACAGCTAGAATCATGAGGACGTGGGAACTGACAGGCTGTGCAGGCTGTGAGCGTGCTGAGGACTGTCTGAGGTTTCCGGTGTGGGGTGTGGAGGGGGATGAGGTCTCAGAGGAGCATCAGTTCTAGGGGAAGCAGGTGCTCTCAGATGGGCCGTGTGGGAGTGAGATGCCTGGGGGCCATCCAGGTGGAGGTGCTCATGAGGAGCTGGAGGTGGGTGGAAGTGCCTGTTAATACATGCAGTGTGAGAGGCTGGCAAGGGAGCCCTGGGGAATGAGAGATAAGGCGCGGAGGTGCTGGGTGGGAGACAGGAGCGAGGGACAGAAAGAGAGGAAGCAGGGACCCGAGGCAGGTGGGTGGAAGGAGGGGGTATAGGCCAGGGAAGGAGACAGGTACCGCCACAACCTCCCCTGAACCTGAAGGGGCCGAGGTGAAGCCCTGGTCTGGAACCTCCCCCCAACCTGAAGGGGCTGAGGTGAGGCCCTGGTCTGGAAGCTCCCCCTAGCCTGGGGGACTTCTTTCTTTCACTGGGCATTCCCAACCCCCGAGACCTGCCCAGCACTTAGGACTGAAGCCGACTTGGGGCTTGGGTCATCATATCTGAGAGAGGTCAGAGCCCCAGAGGAGAGGAAGGAGAGGGCCCCATGGGTCACCTGCGAGGGGCTGGCGGAGAGGCCGTCCCAGTGTCCATTGTAGATATACACACTGCCGAAGCTGGCACCATCATCTGCCCCAAAACCTTCCAGGGGGGCCCCGATGGCCACATCTGTGAGCTTATCCTGACTGAGATCCCCCATAGCCGCCATGGCAAAGCCAAAGCGGGCATTGGTGAACCCGGGGTGCCCACTCAGTATGCGTGCCAAGGAGAAAGAACCATCCTGTAAAGCAAACAAACAGCTCAGCCCTCAAGAAGGGGTGCTAGGTGCCCACTCCATTGCCACCCCGATGCACGCTCACTGGGCCGGTGGGTGCCCACTCCATTGCCACCCAGGATGCACGCTCGCTGGGCCGGTGGGTTCCCACTCCATTGCCACCCAGGATGCACGCTCACTGGGCCGGTGGGTGCCCACTCCGTTGCCACCCAGGATGCACGCTCGCTGGGCTGGTGGGTGCCCACTCCGTTGCCACCCAGGATGCACGCTCACTGGCCAGGGACCTTCCCAAGGCCATACAGTGAGCACCAGGGGAAAGCTGGGGTCCTCCTACCTGGAAGTTCAGGAGTCAGAGCCCGCCCCCCTCTAGTTCCATGGGCAGGGGTGCATTGCTGCAAATGGGAGGCCTGGGTTTCACTCGTGGCTCTGCCACACACATGCCAGGTACACTTGAGCAAGTCTCGGCATCACTGAGGCTCGCCGAGCCCCAGCTTCCTCACCCGTAAGATGAGAGTGGCAGCTACCTCCCATAGTTACTATGAGAAACAAGTGAGATCCTGGACTAAACGGGCTTTGCCAACCATGCAGCTGTAAGAGATGTTATCAGCTGGGCGCGGTGACTCACGCCCATAATCTCATCACTTTGGGAGGCCAAGGTAGGTGGATCACCTGAGGTCAGGAGTTCGAGACCAGCCTGGTTAACATGGCGGAACCCCATCTCTACTAAAATTACAAAAATTAGCCGGGTGTAGTGGCACATGCCTGTAATCCCAGCTACTTGGGAGGCTGAGGCAGGAGAATCAACCCAGGAGGTAGAGGTTGCAGTAAGTTGAGATTGCACCATTGCACTCCAGCCTGGACAACAGAGTGAGACTCAGTCTCGGAAAAAAAAAAAAAAATGCTGGGCGAGGTGGCTTACGCCTGTAATCCCAACACTTTGGGAGGCCGAGGTGGGTGGATCACCTGAGGTCGGGAGTTCAAGACCAGCCTGACCAACATGGAGAAACCCTGTCTCTACCAAAAATATAAAATTAGCCGGGTGTGTGGCCCATGCCTGTAATCCCAGCTACTTGGTAGGCTGAGGCAGGAGAATTGCTTGAACCCCGGAGGCAGAGGTTGCGGTGAGCCAAGATCCTGCCATTGCATTGCAGCCTGGGCAACGAGAGCAAAACTCCATCTCAAAAACAACAACCACAAAAAAAGAGATATTAGAGATATTATCATCAACGATCACCCTTGGGTAAGAAAGTGGGTGCGGAGAGCGATGCCGCTGCCCCGCCCAGCCGCCATCCAGCCTGAGCACCTCCCCATCACTGCCCACTGGTGCCAGGCAGGGCCAGGGCACTCCCAGCCTCCATCACCTCTGTGTCAGGCTGAGTGCCACAGCCTCAGCAAGCTCATGAAGATGGAGACTCTCCCACCTGCTCGCTGAGACGGTACACGTAGACTCTGCCTTCTTCTCCATGAACGTGGTAAAATGGAGCAGCCACCAGCAAGAAGTCCGTGCTTCCATCCATGTCAATGTCCACAGGGCACAGCTCAGAGCCAAAATAGGACCCCATCTACAGCCCGGGAGGAACTCAGCTCACCAGGAGCCCCGCTCCTGCACCCCTCAGCAAGGCTACACCCCTGCCCGCGTGCTTCCTGGACCACCCAATTTGGGTCGTTACATATCAATTTGCTCACTGAGAGTAACAGAAGAGTGGAGGAGCAGCCCAGGCCCCACAGCGGAGGAAACTGCCTAGCAATCAGACATGCAGAGCTGAAGCAGAGCCCTCGAGCTCCACTCAGGAGCCTGAGTTTCACCCAGCCCGGGCCCTGGCCCACTGTGCACCGTGGGACCCACTCCTTTCCCTTGGGGGCCTCCAGATTCCCCATCGGTCATAAGGGGTGGAGGCTTTCCCCAGCAGGTACCTGCTCTCCCTCCAGCACTGGCAGGAAGCTGGCCTCTCTGCCCTCCTTCTGGAGCTCAAACACGGCCCCATGATGTTTGTACCGTGGAGCCCCCGCGATGTAGGAGAGGCTGCAGGTCTTGTGCAGCACGGCCACAGCGTAACCTGGGGCAAGGGTGGTGTGGCTGTGAACACACCGTGTGCTCCCACCTGGCCTCTCTCTTGGCCCCGGCACCTTCCCAGTCAGGCCTTCAAAGTGGCCTGGGGAGGGGGGCAAAATAGGAGAGACTGTCTTTCTCACTATGTTAAAAATCGGCATCAGCGAGCACTCTCACTTTGCCAGTCACACACATCCCCATCACACAGATATGATGCACACGCTGTCTGTCACGTATGCAGCTTTGCTCGAAATACTCGTTCGCACACATTCACTACCCACGCTCCCACACACACCCTAGGAGGACGGAGAAGAGGGGTGAGAGGACGCCCACCACTATTATTATTTTTATTTATTTATTTATTTATTTTTGAGACAGAGTCTCAGTCTGTCGCCCACGCTGGAGTGCAGTGGCACAGTCTTGGCTCATTGCAACCTCCCCCTCCCGGGTTCAAGCGATTCTTGTGCCTCAGCCTTCCGAGTACGTGGGACTACAGGCATCCGCCACCACGCCTAGCTAATTTTTGTATTTTTAGTAGAGACAGGGTTTTGCCATGTTGGCCGGGCTGGTCTCCAGACCTCAGATGATCCGCCCGCATCGGCCTCCTGGGATTACAGGCGTGAGCTACTGCACCACTATTATTAATGGAGAGGCCCCGCCCTCCCCTGGGTGGCTGCTGTGCCTGGTGTGTACCTGACAGGCCTTGTACCTACCCAGGAGGCTGTAGTACTCAGCCTCACGGTCCCTAACCAGGACCCGCCCCTCGGCCCATGTGACTGACCAGGTCCCGCCCCCATCCGGAAACCTCAAGTGCAGCCTAATGCGCAGCCTCGGTGTCCCCATCTCGGCCCCGCCCTCGCCCAGGTGGCCTCTAGGCCCCGCCCTCACCCAGGTGGTCTCCAGGCCCCACCCTCCTCACGTAACTTCCAGGCCCCGCCCTCTCCCAGGTAGCCCCCAGGCCCCACCCTCGCCCACGTGGCCTCCATGCCCCGCCCTCACCCAGGTAGCCCCCAGGCCCCACCCTCGCCCAGGTAGCCTCCAGGCCCCGCCCTCACCCAGGTAGCCCCCAGGCCCCACCCTCGCCCAGGTAGGCCCCGCCCTCGCCCACGTAGCCCTCAGGCCCCACCCTCGCCCAGGGAGCCTCCAGGCCCCGCCCTCATCAGGTGGCCCCGCCCTCATCAGGTGGCCCCGCCCTCACCCAGGTAGCTGTACTGCGCAGCCTCCGCGTCTGCCGCCGCCGCCGCTGTCTGGTTCAGGAAGCGGCCCCGGCGGCTGCGTGTGTCGTAGAGCAACGCCCCTCCGGACCAGTCAAAGGCCCCGACGGCGCCGAGCAGCACCTGCCGCTGAAGGGGACGGGGATGGGGCCCAGATGAGTGGGAGGGACCCAAGGCCGGGCCACGGTGGCCGCGGGTCTCCGGGCCAGCGCGGCTAACCTGGCTGGGAGCAGGGGGGCGTTCGGTGGTCTAGTGCCCGCCTGGCCAGAGATGCAGGCGGGAAGGTGAGATGGCCAACACTGGGCTCCTGCCTCGTGCCCTTGCACTCCCTCCTCCGGGAGAAGCAAGCAGCTTGGTTGATAAGCTGACCCAGGCCGAGTCCTGTTGCCTGGTCTGTATTCAGGGGAACAACTGGATGTTTGAGCACACAGAAAAAAGCGACCTCCTGTCATCAATATGGCCACCCTTTTGTTGCAGTGAGCCGAGACTGCACCGCTGCACTCCAGACTGGGCGACAGAGCAAGACTCCGTCTCAAAATAAATAAATAAATTAATTAATTAAAATAAAATCGCTCTTTTACAGGAATCACCACAGGTAGGGCAGAGCCCTGGATGGGAGGCAGGAGTCCCTGAATCCTAGGTGTCCTGGGCCCCTCACCAATGGGCAAGCCTGCCTGGTGCTGAGTCAGCCACGTACCTCATCCAGGATCTGAGCACTGAAGCCAATCTGTGCCAGCTGGTAGTGAAGGGCGTCTCCAACCGTGCCTGCAAGCCAAGAAGCCCAGTGAGACTGCTGTGGGCCGAGGTGAAGGGAGAAACTGAGTCAGGGGACAGTCCAGCTTGGCCTCACTCCCAGAAGGAACCATGCTTGGTGTAACAGGAAGAGAACCCGGCTGAGGGTAGAGACCCAGGTTCTCCTTGAGCAACTACTATCTGGGCAGTTCACTCTTTCTAGGCCTCAGTTTCCTCGTCTGTGAGCTCCTGGGAGAAGGGACTATGCCCCAGCCATCCTTGTTTCTCCAGCACCAGCTCAGTTCATCAGAGCTTCATGGAGATTCTGGGACGCAAGGAGGCCTGGGGATATTGTTGGCCTTTTTTTTTTTTTTTTTTTTTTTTTTTGAGACAGTGTCTCACTCTGTTGCTCAGGCTGGAGTGCCATGGCTCAATATCAGCTCACTGCAACTTGTGCCTCCCAAGGTCAAGTGACCTGGTGCCTTAGCTTCCCAAGTAGCTGGGAATAGAGGTCATGCGCCACCACGCCTGGCTAATTTTTTTTTTTTTTTTTTTGAGATGGAGCCTCGCTCTGTCACCCATCCTGGAGTGCAGTGGCGCGATCTTGGCTCACTGCAACCTCTGCCTCCTGGGTTCGAGTGATTCTTCTGTCTCGGGCTCCTGAGTAGCTGGGATCACAGGCATGCACCACCACGCCTGGCTACATTTTTTTGTATTTTTAGTAGAAACAGGATTTCACCATGTTGGCCAGGCTGGTCTTGAACTCCAGACCTCAGGTGATCCACCGGCCTTGGCCTCCCAGAGTGTTGGGATTATGGGCGTGAGCCACCACACCTGGCCCCAGCTACTTTTTGTTTTAGTAGAGATGGGGTTTTGCCATGTTGCCCAGGCGGGTCTCAAACTCCTGGCCTCAAGCAATCCACCTGCCTCTGTCTCCCAAAGTGTTGGGATAACAGGCATGAGCCACCACACCCGGCCATTGCCTTTTTAGACATGGAAGAGCTGAGGTTCAGGGAGATGATGGGAGTTGCTCAGAGAAACCACATGAAGATGGGACAGAGGCCGGGCTGGAGCATAGGCTCGGGCCTCCTGCGGTGGCCTGGGTCCCGGAGCCCTCACCTTCCATGCTGATGATGTTGTACCGCAGTTTGCTCAGCAGCCCATCCAGCGCCATGTAGTTGGTCACCTTGAAAGCATGGGTCTCATCCGGGTCTGAGGCGATCAGGTTCAGTTCCCTCGCAGTCCTAGCACTCTTAAATTCTTCTCCCACCTGCACAGACAGCCTGGGTCAGCGAGTCAGCGCTGCGTGGATTCCCCAGGCCCAGGGAGAGAGCTGAGCCCCTCCATCTGGCCTCTGGGGCCCTCCATTACCTGTCTCCTTCCTTCCTTTCTCCTCCTTTCCCTGCTCCCTGTTCTACCCATACTCTGGGCAAAATTCCAGTTTTACCAAAGTACACCTGTTCTCCTGAATACACCAAGCTCCTCCTCACCTCTGCACATGCTGTTCCCTCTGCCTGCAGGGCCCCTCTCTGCCTCCCCTGTGCCCTAGGCCAGCTACTCCCATTTGTCTGGCAGGACTCAGCTTGGCACCGCGGTCCTCCAGGAACCCTCCTTGGTGTGTTTCCTGTGGCTCTCCCACCACTATTTGGCCAGTAAGCTGTGACCACCATGGGGAAATGAGCCCTCTCTGGGATGACAGAGCATGGAGAGAAGAGGAGCATTTGCAAATAGAACAGGGTCTGGATAAGCTGCTTACAGAAAAGCCCCCATCGACAACCCTGGCTTCTCCCCACCCCAGGCTGTGCAGGTTCAGGAGGTGTCTCCCGGCTCCTGGCTCTTACCCCAATGGCAAAGCGCTCAACACCCTGCATTTTGGGGGAGTTGATGACTGTCGTAAGGTTGAGGGGGTCCTCGAATATGCCACCATCGGTGAGCACCACCATGACCTTGGATGCCTTTCTCCTGGAGCCGTGGCTTGAGGTGAAGATGCTGTCTCTAAGCAGGGGAGAGTAAATGAAGAAGAGAGCTTTGCCAGAAGGATGACCGAGCTCCAGGAGAGACTTTATTCTCTGACCTGTATTAGAATTGGGAGGGTTCACAATCCTCCCGAAAGACCCAGAGAAGGGGGTGATGCCCCCTTAAGTCACGCAGCGAGGCTGGGCAGAGGGAGGGCTGCAACACAGGTGTTCTTGCTTCTCACCTGCTCCCAGCAGGAAGGTACTGCCTGGCAGTCCATTCCTCTTGTGTGCGTACAGGAAGACTCATGATATTAAAACGATAGATAATACTCACATGGCACTTATCATGTGCCAGGCACTGTTGTAAACACTGTATATTTTAAGCCATCCAACCATCACAAAATCTATCAGGCAAGTGCTATTATTTTTCTTTCTTTTTTAGAGACGGCGTCTCACTCTGTCACCCAGGCTGGAGTGCAGTGGTGTGATCATGGCTCACTGCATCCTTGAACTTCTGGGCTCAAGCAATCCTCCTGCCTCAGCTTCCTGAGTAGCTGGAACTATAGGCACAAGCCACTGCTCCAAGCTGTGAGTACTATTATTATTCTCATTTTATTTATTTATTTTTATTATTATTATTATTGAGATAGATGGAGTCTCGCTCTGTCACCCAGGCTGGAGTGCAATAGCACGATCTCAGCTCACTGCAACCTCTGCCTCCCGAGTTCAAGCAATTCTCCCTGCCTCAGCCTCCCGAGTAGCTGGGATTACAGGCACCTGCCACCACACCCAGCTAACTTTGTATTTTGAGTAGAGACGGGGTTTCACCATGTTGGCCAGGCTGGTCTTGAACTCCTGACCTCAGGTGATCCACCTGTGTTGGCCTCCCAAAGTGCTGGGATTACAAGCATGAGCTACCACGCTCAGCCTATTTTTCTCATTTTTAAAGTGAGGAAACTGAAGCACAGGTCACAAGGTCCTTCAGTTTGCCCGGGGTCACACAGATACAAACCAGAGCTGAGGCCGGGCGCGGTGGCTCACGCCTGTAATCCCAGCACTTTGGGAGGCCGAGGCGGGCGGATCACGAGGTCAGGAGATCGAGACCATCCTGGCTAACATGGTGAAACCCCACCTCTATTAGAAATATAAAAAATTAACTGGGCGTGGTGGTGGCCGCCTGTAGTCCCAGCTACTCGGGAGGCTGAGGCAGGAGAATGGTGTGAACCTGGGAGGCGGAGCTTGCAGTGAGCTGAGATCGTGCCACTGCACTCCAGCCTGGGTGACAGAGCAAGACTCCATCTCAAAAAAAAAAACAAAAAAAAAAAACCAGAGCTGAGATTTGAACCCAGCCAGCCTGTCCACTGAGCACTCTGCTCTCCTGCATCTCACAAGAGGAAGTCTTTGGAAGACTTTTTGGAGGACAGCCTTGAGGTGTCATCCCTCACGTTCTCTCTCGGCCAGGGAAAGGCTGGAGCCCTAATTCTCTTCTCCTGCGGTTCTGGCCAGCCACTTCCTCCATGAGTGATGCCACAGAGACTCTGGGCATGGCCAGAATAATTCCTGCAGCCCCCACACTCACAAGACGTGTTGCATGGCTGAGGCAGTCTTGGTGACACTCCCCACTTGAGTGATGTTCTGGACTCTGGCGAGGGAGGCCATCACATCCTGGCTGTCCCGAAGGTCAAACTCAGTCTGGATCACTCCTCCATACTGCACCAAGGCAAAGTTGCACTGCAGGGGATGGGCAGGAGGGCAGGAGGTTGGAAGAATTGCCACCTCTGCCCCTGAAATGTCTCCCGCTGGAAGCAGCAGAAAAATCCACTCCTTCTACCTTATCCCTGGGCAGAAAGAGATGCTAAGGCAGAGCAAAATCTCTAAGCGAGTAGGGGTGGAGAAGGGTGCGATAGTAAAGGCCCCCAGTGAATCACAGACTTCTCCCCAGCTCCCTGTGTAGTGCCCTCCATACTGACGATGGGATTGGTCATGTGACTGGCTTTGGCCAATAAGACATCAGCAAATGTGATGTAATTAGAGACTTGAAAAATACTTGCATGCATTGGATCTGGCCCTCTTAGAATGTTGCTGCCACGAAAAAGTTGGGCTGGCCTGCTAAAGACACATGGTCCAGACAAGTAAGTGAGGTCATCTTAGGCCATCCAGCCCCAGTCAAGCAACCAGACGCCTGCAGCTCCAGGGTAACTCCAGGCAAGATGGACAGAAGAATCATCCAGCTGAGCCCAGCCCAAGTATGTGACCCATAGAATTGTGAGCAAATGTGGTGATTGTTGTTCTGAGGTAGGGTGATTCTCAGCAATAGATAAGTGTTAACCAGCTCTTAGGGAAGCCCACCTCAAAACACTTTTCATAGAAGTTCCTCATCATGTTGGAGATGAAGTCTTTGGCTCTCTGAAAGTCTGGGGGATCAATGCTTCCTGAGCCATCCAGGATGATGGCAATCTCGGTGCCTGGCCAAGACAAACAGGTCAGGAGTGGGCATGGGATGTGAGGCAGATGTAAGGGTAGCATGTGTAGGGCATGCACCCCCACTGCAGCCCTGACAACCAGCTCAGTTCAGGGAAGAAGTTGGAGAAGCTCCCAAGAGGGAAGCTTTTTTTTTTTTTTTTTTTTTTTTTTTGAGACAGAGCTTCACTCTGTTGCCCAGGCTGGAGGGCAGTGGTGGGATCTCAGCTTACTGCAGCCTCCGCCTCCCGGGTTCAAGCAATCCTCCTGCCTTAGCCTCCCAAGTAGCTGGGACTATAATGCACACCACCATGCCTGGCTAATTTTTGAATTTTCTAGTAGAGTTGGGGTTTCACCATGTTGGCCAGGCTGGTCTTGAACTCCTGACCTCAAGTGATCCGCCCACTTCAGCCTCCCAAAATGCTGGGATTACAGGCATGAGCCACCTCACCTGGCCCCAAGAGAGAAGCTTTTGTCTCCCCCTTCAAAAAGAGAGCTAGAACCTGGTCAGGCTTTGTGTGCTGTGTGAGCCATTCCCATCACTACCACTCTCTGAGCCTCAGTTTCCCCACTTATAAGAAAGAGTGGGTGGAGCTGGTACAGGTCAGGTCTGTAAAGTCCAGCCACTGCTCCCCATCTCTCAGACTGAGGCACCCCTCACCCTTGGAGGCCACCAGCCTAGGAATTGGCTCTGATAGACTCAGAGCAACCCAGATCTGCCTCTTCTCACCAGCTTCCTCCTCCTCCTCGTCTTCCTCCTCCTCCTTGTCTTCCTCCTCCTCCTTCTCCAGAGCCCGGCGCTGCCTGGCTGTGTTCACATCGTCTTCTCCACCGCCTTCTTTGTTGCTGTAGCAGTCTCCAGTGTCCACACGTGCATCTGGATCCAGGAGATTTTCTTTAAAAACACACATGGAAGAGCTCAGAGTCAGAAAGGCTCCATCCTCGCCTGAGCACGCTCACACATGGTTCTGCCCTGATTCCTTTCACGTGATGCCTCAACCCTGCCTTGCTCCACTGTGGGCCTGCGTCCCACTGCATCTGCCGTGAGCTGGTGCCTTTTCTTGGAGACCAAGGAGATCTCTTTAGAGCTATCCAAGGCCAGTGAATGTCCAATCCTTACCAAGGTCGAAGAAGTTGGCCTGAGCCTGGGGACGGAGGTCAGGGCCCAGGAGGCTACAGGTGCCTGTGAGTTCTGAGCTGAGGCTGTGAGGCCGCCGGACCAGCACTTGAATGCATATCTGTGGGAGGGAAGAGAGGGTGGGGAAACACCAGGTCACCTCCCGATTCCCGAGCCACAGCCACATTCTCACCCCCATTCCAGAACTCAGTGGCTCAACCAGGCAGGGGGCACAGGAAGAGCTGGCCCACCCCTCACCGGGTGTAGGAGTCAGTGTTGGCATCAAGGCCGAGGCCGACACCTGCAGGAGTGTGCTGGGTCACAGGGAATACCTAGGTCAGCCCTGGTATCAGGGTGGTCAGAGCTACAGTCAGCCCTGGGGTTGGCACCAGGGAGACGCTAGACTCAGCCTCGGGAACAGCATGGCAGTCAGAACTGGTCTCAACACCAGGGTCAACCACGAGGGCTAGCACCAGCCTCCCTAAGGCCCTCCCTCCTCTCGCTCCTGCACTCACCAAAACACCGTGGTGGCTCCGGACAACGGTCACTCCCCGGTGCCTCCCCTTGGGGATGGGGACATGCTCTGAAAAAGTTAAGCCCAGGTGAGGAGGAGGAGGGGACTCTGGGAGGCAGAGACCCGAAGCCAAGGTCAGAGGGCACAGAGCCACCTTGGTCAGGCCCCCATGAGGAACTGTTGGCCACTCAGAGAAGCCTCTAGAAAGCTAGAGCGGGGGCCTTCAAGGTCAGGACTGGACACGTTCAGGGCCGAGTGCCCATCCCCGGGGCTCATTTGCTGACCCTTTCAACACGTGCCCATTGACGTCTGCTCTGTGCCCAGCCTTGTGAGCGTGGTGATGGGCGTCCAGCAACAGCGGATGCCTGCTGCTTTTCCTCAGTGGGTTTGGTCGGGCAGGTGGGTGGAGAAGCACTGCCTGGTGGGTATGTAAGTGCCAAGGAATGTGCAAGATACCGTGGGACTGGCTGTGTGGACCAAGGAACCCCCCAGCCTCACAGACCCATCCTGGGGAATCTTACTGCCCCCAGCCTCAGGGGCAGAAATGGTAGCTCCTTCCTCGTCCTCCCCACTGTCAGCCTCAGGATACTGTCTTATTTTTCAGTCATGGAATCACTCAGTCAACCCTGCTGGACTGAGATTGAGTCTGTTCAACTCAGTGCCTCTCAGACAAGGATTTTTTTTTTTTTTTTTTTTTTTTTTGAGACAGAGTCTTGCTCTGTCGCCCAGGCTGGAGTGCAGTGGCGCAATCTCGGCTCACTGCAAGCTCCGCCTCCCAGGTTCACGCCATTCTCCTGCCTCAGCCTCCTGAGTAGCTGGGACTACGTGTGCCCGTCACCACACCTGGCTAATTTCTTTTTGTATTTTTAGTAGAGACGGGATTTCACCGTGTTAGCTAGGATGGTCTCGATCTCCTGACCCATGATCGGCCCACCTCAGCCTCCCAAAGTGTTGGGATTACAGGCATGAGCCACCGTGCCTGGCAGGATTTTTTTTTTTTAAACAGTCTTGCTCTGTTGCCCAGGCTGGAGTCCAGTGGTGCAATGTCAGCTCACTGTAACCTCCACCTCCTGGGTTCAAGCGATTCTTCTGCCTCAGCCTCCCAAATAGCTGGGATTGTAGGCATGCACCACCACGCCTGGCTGATTTTTGTATTTTTGGTAGAGATGGGGTTTCATCATATTGGCCAGGCTGGTCTCGAACTCTGGACCTCAAATGATCTACCCGCCTTGGCCTCCCAGTGTGCTAAGATTACAGGCGTGAGCCACGGCGCCCAGCCTCAGACAAGACAAGGATTCTATTTATTTATATATATATAGCCAAGAGGTTGTCAGTAAATCTGTGACCTGAGTTTGACTGGGTAGGATGGATAGAGTTTAATGAGTGAATCAGGTTCATTCATTCATTCATTCATTCATTCATTCAAATGGCATTTATTGAGTACCTAATATATGTCAGGCCCCATGCTAGTTACTAGGGTGGCCACAGTTAGACTGAATATGTAGGGGGTGAATTGCACTGAGGTGTGATGACTTGCATCAGGAAGGGCTAGAGTTTCGAATCAGCCACCAACACTAAAAGTGTGAACTTTGTCATACTGGCAACCAAAAGACCTACATTCTCTGAACTGTAGCTTCCTCTCTTATAAATGGCGCGGTTTTGAGGATGAAAACAGAATGACTCAGAGGACTGCCGGGCACAGGGTGGGCACGCAATACGCTGTAGGTATCATTTCTGTTGCTAGGACTGTGTCAGGAAAGGTGGCTGGGGATTAGGATTGGGTTGGGGTGGGACTGGGCATTGGGATGGAATCTTGCTGTGGGTTATGCTGGAGTCTAGGGGTGAACGGGCTGGATGAGGCAGGGCTGGGGTTGGAATGGTTTGAGTTTAGATGAGGGGGATTTTGCTAGAAAGGGGGTCCTGGGGAGCATTCCCTGGAGTTGGGGCTGACTTACCTACAGGATGGCAAAGGATTTCATCCTGGACAAGGGAACATCGATGGAGGGGCCCTGGTGTCCTCTTGGTTCTGGGGCTGGTGACCAGGAGCCTGAGTGGGAGGGGAGGTTGCAAAGCTGAGCTGGCTGATGTTCCTCGTCTTCTCCCTGCCTGCCCAGCACCCTTCCCATTCCAGTTGCCTGCACTCACAAGCTCCCTGTCTGGCCGGCAGATTCCTAGCCCAGACTCTGGATTATGGGGAAGACATTTGCCCAACCTCTGCTTCTACACAGCACCAGGCAGGAAATGGTTAAATGCAACCCCTCTCTGCCTGCTGCCCACCCTGACAAAGAAGGGGTGATACTGATGGTTAATAAAAACTCTGCTCTCTTATGGGGACAGGGATGGGGAGGCCAGAAAACCACCAGCGTTGGGGTTGGTTCTGTTGGGGGCAGTGCTGGCTTCCTCGTGGGCCACCCAGGGGGCCTGCCCTGCCTGGCCTTAGTTCCTGAGAAGAGTACGCTGGTGCCCCTATCCTGTGGGTCAGTCAGAACTGGAGGTTTGGAGGCCGGGCGCGGCGGCTCACGCCTGTAATCCCAGCACTTTGGGAGGCTGAGGCAGGTGGATCATCTGGGGTCAGGACTTTGAGACCAGCCTGATCAATATGGTGAAACCCCGTGTCTACTAAAAATACAAAAATTAGCCGGGCATGGTGGCGTGTGCCTGTAGTCCCAGCTACTCAGGAGGCTGAGGCAGGAGAATTGCTTGAACCTGGGAGGCAGAGGTTGCAGTGAGCGGAGATCACGCCACTGCACTCCAGCCTGGGGGACAGAGTGTGACTTCGTCTCATAAATAAATAAATAAATAAAAGAACTGGAGGTTTGGGGGTGGCTGCCTCAGCCTGATTAAGGCAGCCTCAAGAGCTGCGCCTCCTGACTGCAAACTTCTTGCCCCCACCCAGGCCCAGTCCAGGGAGACGGCAGATTCCAGGGACAGCCTCAACATTCTCACCATCCACGTTACCCAGGAGAACTGGGCTGTCCTGAGACAGACAGTGAGCTCCGGGGGTTGTCATAGGGGATGGTGGGGAGGGGACGAGGGGCTTGGTGGTTAACAGTGAACCAAGTCCAAGGTCTTTCTGCAGAGGGCAGTAGAAGTCATGGAGGACTTTATAAAGGGGAAGCACATGATTAGCTGTGCTTTCAAAAGCTCATGATGAGGCCGGGCGCGGTGGCTCACGCCTGTAATCCCAGCACTTTGGGAGGCCGAGGCAGGCAGATCACGAGGTCAGGAGATCGAGACCATCCTGGCTAACATGGTGAAACCCCGTCTCTACTAAAAATACAAAAAATTAGCCGGGCGTGGTGGCGGGTGCCTGTAGTCCCAGCTACTCGGGAGCCTGAGGCAGGAGAATGGTGTGAACCCAGGAGGCAGAGGTTGCAGTGAGCCGAGATCACGCCACTGAACTCCAGCCTGGGTGACAGAGCGAGACTCTGTCTCAAAAAAAAAAAAAAAAAAAAAAGGTCATGATGTGGCTACAGTGGGTTGGGACAGACTAAAGAGCACAGGAAGGTGGGGCAGAAATGAGATACCGTCTCCACTTCCTCAACTCCTATCACTCTACATTTTAATACATTATGAAATATATTCACGTATCGGCATGGCTTACAGAATAATAAGAAAGTCTGCACCTGTGCGTCCATCCGCCCACCCACAACTGAACCCACCCCAAGCTGACTTCCCACCCTCTGAGTCAGTTCCTGTGAAGGTCACCAGGGGCCCCCACAATGCCACATCCAACGGACCGCTCTCTGTCCTCATCTTCCTCAACCTCTCAGAAGCCCCAAACATGAGTAACCATCTCCTTCGAACACTTTTTTCTAGATTTCTGCCTACTCTCTCCTCATTCCTCAAGGCTTCGCTGGTGCCTTCGCGGTCTGACCTCTATCTGCCACCAGGATCTGGGGGCTGGGTCACTGTCTTCCTTGCCGGCACACTCTCCCTAGTGATCCCTTCCAAGCCCATGGCTTCAATACACCTATAACGGCTGAAATTCCCACCTCTCCATCTGCTATCGTAGGCAGAATAATGGCCCCCCAAAGAAGGCCACGTCCTAATCCCCAGAACCTGTGAATATGTTGCCTTTTATGGCAAAAGGGACTTCGTAGATGTGAGTTAATAAATTAAGGATCATGAGATGGGGGGGTTATCCTGGATTATCTAGGTGGGCTCAGTGAAATCACAAGGGTCCTTCTATGAGGGAGGCCCCGAAAACGGTGGCATGGGCGAGCCGCAGGGACTCAGGGGGACGTTGAGGCAGGCAGAGGGGAGAAGTGGCGAGACTGCAGGGAATGCTGGGAGCCTCCCAAGGAGGCCTCTCCCATCCCAGAAGCCCCCAGGGCTGTCCTGGCTGGGCTGTAAAGCCCCAGTGTAATCACAAAAGTCCTTCTAGGAGGGAGGCAGGAGAATCAGAGTCGGAGAAAGTTGTGAAGCTTGCTATGCTGCAGGCCTAAGGAGGAGGAGGAGCCCGTCAGCCAAGGAATGCAAGCAGCTTCTAGAAGCCTAAAAAGGCAAGAAAACAGATTCTCCCCCAGAGCTTCTAGAAGGGACCCAGCCCTGCTGATAGCTTTTCAGACTTCTGACCTCCAAAACTACAAGATAATAAACTTGCAGCTGGGCTCAGTGTCTCACACCTGTCATCCCAGCACTTTGGGAGGCCGAGGCAGGCGGATCACCTGAGGTCAAGAGTTCAAGACCAGCCTGGCCAACAGGGTGAAACCCCGTCTCTACTAAAAATACAAACATTAGCTGGGCATAGTGGTGAAAGCCTGTAATCCCAGCTACTCGGGAGGCTGAGGCAGGAGAATCACTTGAACCTGGGAGGTGGAAGTTGCAGTGAGCTGAGATCTCACCACTGCACTCCAGCCTGGGTGAAAGAGTGCAAAATAATAATAATAATAATAATAATAATAATAATAATAATAATAATAATAATAATAAACCTGTGTTGTTGTAAGCCACTACATTTGTGGTAACTTGTTACAGCGTCGATAGGAAACAAACAGAACCTGTGGTCTTTCCTGTCAAGCCTGCTTCTTCTCATCTTCCCCGCCACAGCAAATGGCACCAGCAACCACTAAGTTCTCAAGGCAAAACCCAGGAGGCATCCTCACTTCGTCGTGTTTTCACTCATGCCCTACATCCAATCCACCTGCCAACCCTGTTGGTTCTCTCTCCAAATTCTTTTTTTTTTTTTTCTTTTTTTGAGATGGAGTTTCACTCTTGTCGCCCAGGCTGGAGTGCAATGGCACGATCTCGGCTCACTGCAACCTCCACCTCCTGGGTTCAGGCGATTCTCCTGCCTTGGCCTCCCAAAGTGCTGCGATTACAGGCGCCCGCCACCATGACCAGCTAATTTTCGTATTTTTAGTACAGATGGGGTTTTCACCATGTTGGCCAGGCTGGTCTTGAACTCCTGACCTCAGGTGATCCACTCACTTCGGCCTCCCAAATTGCTGGGATTACAGGTGTGAGCCACCACACCCGGCCAATTTTTGTATTTTTAGTAGAGACAGGGTTTCACCATGTTGGCCAGGCTGGTCTTGATATCCTGACCTCAGGTGATCCACCCACCTCAGCCTCCCAAAGTGCTGGAATTACAAGCATGAGCCACCGTGCCTGACTCTCCAAATTATTTCTAGAAAGCAACTCTTCTCCAGATGCTCCTTCCATCATCGTCCTGCCTTGTTGATGGTAATAGCCTCCTGTTATTTTGTGGGGTTTGTTTGTTTTTTAGGTAGTGTCTTGCTCTGTTGTCCAGGCTGGAGTGCAGTAGTGTGATCACAGCTCACTGCAGCCTTGACCTCCCGGGCTCAGCAATCCTCCTACCTCAGCCTCACAAGTTGCTGGGCCTACAGGAGCGAGTTACCTTGCCCAGCTAATTTTGTTAATTTGTCTATAGAGATGAAGTCTCACTGTGTTGCCCAAGCTGATCCTGGGCTCAAGCACTCCCACCTTGGTCTTCCAAAGTGTCAGAGAAAGATGCAAAGCTTACTATGCTGCAGGCTTGAGGAGGAGGAGGCCGTGAGCCAAGGAATGCAGGCAGCTTCTAGAAGCCAAATAAGGCAAGAAAACAGATTCTCCCCCAGAGCTTCTAGAAGGGACCCAGCCCTGCTGACACCTTTTCAGACTTCTGGCCTCCAAAACTACAAGAAAACTTCTATATTAATAGAAGTGAGCCACTGTGCCTGGCCCACTTATTTGGTTTTTAATTTACTCATGTAATTTTTTTTTTAAGACAGAGTCTCCTTCTGTCACCTAAGTTGAAGTACAGTGGCATGATCACGGTTCACTGCAGCCTTGACCTCCCAGGCTCAAGCGATCCTCCCACCTCAGTCTCCCAAGTAACTGGGACCACAGATGCGTGCCATCACACCTGGCAAATTTTCTTATGTTTTGTAGAGATGGGGTTTTGCCATGTTGCCCAGGCTAGTCTCGAACTCCTGGGCTCAGGTAATCTTCCTGCCTTGGCCTCCCAAACTGCTGGGAGTGAGCCTAGTGAGTTACAGTGAGTTTCAGGCATGAGCCACAGCACCTGGCCCACTCATGTAGTTTACACCAATGTCCCTTCTGTCAGTGGCAGCCCCAGTTCCTGGGTGACCAGCGCCAGCATTTCCTGCCTCAGGCCCTCCACGGCGCTGTTCCCTCCACGGCACTGTTCCCTCCACCGCGCTGTTTCCTATTCCCAGAGCCCTCACCTTCCACTCTCCCCAAGGTTGGCTTATTCTCCTTCCCCAGCCTCGCCTGTCACCTCCTCATAAATGCTTTCTCTACCCAGCCGTGCCTCACAACCCAGTTACTCTGCTTCACATCACCCTGTTTGATTTCCTTCTCAGAACCTGCCATCATCTGATAGTGCCTATTATCTGTCTCCCCACGAGACAGTAGGCTCCCGAAGGATCTTGTCTATCTTCTTCACTGTGTTATTCCCAGGGTCTGGAGCAATGCCTGGCACAGAACAAGGGCTCAGTAAGTGTTGAGTGACTATTGAACAACAGCCCAGGCAACAGCTGAGGGGGCTCATCTGGGGCAGGGCTGAGGGGCGGAGGGCTGGGTGCAGCAGAGAGCTGCTCCTCTGTTCCGGCTCTGCAGCTGAGCCCCCAAATTAGGTTGCTTCCTTAGCAACCCTGCCTCTCTCCCCAGCCCCGACCTCAGCCCTAGACCCAGCATCTCCTTCCCTGCTCCCCCAGGAAGGGTGGGGTCAAAACTGGGCTCCACCGCAGACCCCGTTTTGGTGGGGTAGGTGCAGGCCTGGACCCGCCTCCAGTCTCTCTCCTCCTCAGTCCTCTGCCCGGACTGTTTCCTCTGCCTGCGATCCCTCCTGCTGCAGAGCAATCATCCCAAACCCCAGCTCCTCAGGAAGCCTTCCCAAAGGAAGTGCAGCCTGATCCCCTCCAGGCCCTGCAGCAGCCCTGACTATAGCACCCCACCCCCACCCTTTCTTCCCACCTGGACTGCGCGTTCCCAGGAGGCCATCATGAACAGCTGTGCAGGGTGCGCACTGCAGATCCCAAGACTGCCATTCATGCCGCCATCATGCAATGACATGGCCTGGGGCCCTCTGAGCTGCCTCTGCTTCCCACACCTTTTATCCCCCACTGCCGGGAGTTTGCAGGTTTGTTGACCACGTGGCTGACAAACCATTGACCCACCAGCTCTGACAGAGGACTGGCCATCAGCTCGCAGCCACAGGGGCCCTGTTACACCCTGAGCTGGGTACAGCCCAGCAACCCTTGTCCATCTCCTGCCTTTATTTATTGCTTTAGTATGTTTTTCGTTGTTTGTTTGCTTTTTGAGATGGAGTCTCACTCTGTCTCCCAGGCTGGAGTGCAGTGGCGTGATCTCGGCTCACTGCAACCTCCGCCTCCCTGGTTCAAGTGATTCTCCTGCCTTAGCCTCTGCCTCCTGAGTAGCTGGGATTACAGGCATGTGCCACCACCACACCCGGTTAATTTTTGTATTTTTATTAGAGATGGGGTTTCACCATGTTGGCCAGGCTGCTCTTGAACTCCTGAGCTCAGGTGATCTGCCTGCCTTGGCCTTCCAAAGTGCTGAGACTACAGGCACGAGCCACCATGCCTGACCTTATTTAGTATTTTGTATTTAAATGTTTAACAATCTTTTTAACTGGTCACTGACTTGAAGCTCACATCTTGCCTTCACCCAGCTCTAACCTGTCCTGTTCTCAGGGTTTATTTCTTTCTTTCTTTTTTTTTTTTTTCTTTTTTTTGAGATGGAGTCTCACTCTGTCGCCCAGGCTGGAGTGCAATGGCATGATCTTGGCTCACTGCAACCTCTGCCTCCTGGGTTCAAGTGATTCTCCTGCCTCAGCCTCCTGAGTAGCTGGAATTACAGGCACCTGCCACCATGCCCAGCTAAATTTTTTTTTTTTTGGTATCTTTAGTAGAGATGGGTTTTCACCATGTTGGCCAGGCTGGTCTCGAACTCCTGACCTCAAGTGATCTGCCGGCCTCAGCCTCCCAAAGTGCTGGGATTACGGGTGTGAGCCCCCATGCCCAGCCCTCAGGGTCTATTTCCATGTCTGCTGTCTGTCCCACCCATACCTTCTGTGGCAACCAAAACCCATGATGCTGCCAGCCCTGGTCTCTTACATTTTAAGAGAGACAATGTGAGTGAGAGGCACACGTCATTCTCAAGCAGGAGCACAGCCCCTGCCTTTTTCTAGGCCCGAGTTGGCCAGCCAGCGCACTTCCTGCCCCATGCAGCAGGCCCGTGGTCTCAGGCCCCACTCTCTGCAGCAGGAACCCAGAAGTGCCTCCCACCACATCCTCCTCCCCAGCGTGTTCAAGCCTGGGAGCCCCTCTCTGCTTCAGCAGGTGTTCAGGGAGCCCCGCTGGGCCCTCCCCCAGCCCCTGGTGGACTCAGAGCCCTCTGCGACACGGGCTCCAAACTCTCTCCTGCACCCTGGCCTTTAGGCTTCTGAGAGAGGGGCTGTGAATGTCGGTGGGACCTGGAGCTGAGGCGTGGGGTCGCTGGGTATTGGTGGGAGGGAACTAGGCAGGAGACAGTTACAGAAAACGCTGACTGAAACCTGCTCACACCCTACAAACAGTATGGAAAACTGAATGCAGAACCAATTGCATAACTTCTGACCCAGCAATCCCACTCCTGAGCACATATGCCCTCCCCAAAAATGAGTACATTCTTTGGGATCAACTCTGAGGGATTAAAAAAAAAAAAGAACATTCATCCATCAAAAGGAGGTGCACATCAGTGCTATTCATCACAGCCCAAGAAAACAGCCCAAATGCCAATCATCAGTACTGTCGACACAATGTAACCCTGGCAACCAGAAGAAGTACCGCCTGGGGCAACACGATGGATGAAATTCACAGGCCTTATGTGGAGAGAGAGGAGCCCGACGTAGCGGGGCACACACCGTATGCCTCGTTGATACTAAATGCAAAACCAGGCGAGGCTAATCCACGGAGATGAAAGTCAGCTGGGGGTTACTCTTGGCAGCAGATGTGTCTGGAAGGGAGTGCGGGGCTTAGAGGGGGCCTAGGCGCCGCAGCTCACGTGCCCTTGATCTGCATGCTGCTTACACAGTGCTTCACTCTGCGGATGTTCACTGCGCTGCATGCTTATGAGGTGTGCATTTTTCTCTTTTTTTTTTTTTTTTTTTTGGAGAGACAGAGTTTCATTCTTGTTGCCCAGGCTGGAGTGCAATGCTGCGGTCTTGGCTCACTGTAACCTCCGCCTCCCGGGTTCAAGCGATTCTCCTGCCTCTCCTAAGTAGCTGGGATTACAAGCGCCCACCACCACACCCGGCTAATTTTTATATTTTTAGTGGAGACGGGGTTTCACCATGTTGGCCAGGCTGGTCTGGAACTCCTGACCTCAGGTGACCCGCCCGCCTTGGCCTCCCAAAGTGCTGGGATGACAGGCGTGAGCCCCCGCGCCCAGCCGGGTGTGCATTCTTCTGTATGGCACATGTTGATAAAATTTTACCCAAACCAAACACAATCTTGACCTTTAATTCATCTTCGTGCAACACAAAACTCCCTGAAAACCTCACCACCCCTCCCGGCTTCAGACCCTCTAGTTCCTCCAAACCCTCAGTGCCTGGGTGACGAGGCACCACCACACTCTCCCAGCTTACTTTTCATCACTGTCAGCTTTAGCCACACGTGATTTTCTCAGTTTCCTGACCTTACTCAGCCGGCCTCCAGGCTTCTGATCAAGCTGTTCTCTGTGCCTGCCATCCCCTTCCCGTTCCTTCTCATGCTAATTCCCAGTCACCCTGCAAATCCTAGTAGACGCTGATGAACACACCTGCCTCGATGCGCCCCCCCGTACCTCGGACGTCCCCCAACAGAGCTGTTATTCGGTGGGGTCATTGTCACTCTTGTCATCGTCTAGCTTGTGTTTCCCTCATGAGCCCGGGAGCTCCATGAAGGCAGTGACCATGTCTCCCTCTTATTCCCCAAATATTGCCTGGCACTGAGTAAGTGCTCCATCCATACTTGCTGAATGAATGAATGAATGAATGAATGAATTGGCCCCATCCTTACCACTTAAATCTAATGGTGAGCAGACTTTTTTTTTTTTTTTTGAGACGGAGTCTCACTGTCGCCCAGGCTGGAGTGCAGTGGCGCGATCTCGGCTCACTGCAAGCTCCGCCTCCCGCGTTCATGCCATTCTCCTGCCTCAGCCTCCCAAGCAGCTGGGACTACAGGTGCGCGCCACCACGCCCAGATAATTTTTGTATTTTTAGTAGGGACAAGGCTTCAGCATATTGGCCAGGCTGATCTCAAACTCCTGACCTCAAATGATCTGCCCGCCTCAGCCTCCCAAAGTGCTGGGATTACAGGCGTGAGCCACCGCGCCTGGCAGTGACCAGACTTTTGACTGCACCGATGAAACCAGGATCCAGAAAGGACTCTCTAATGATGTAGGAAACGTCGAGCTCTGTCTCCCCTGCAGCTCTCACAACACAGAACAGTCCAGTGACCCCAGGTGGGTGGGGTTTTCCCTCCACACGGGGCAAGCAGTCCTTCGGCAACCAGCTCCAGCTGAAGGTCCTCACGTTCAACTCAATTCCGACATGCTCCACCTGGAGGTAGCATCAGCCCTCACAGGTCGAGGTCTCAGTCCCACAAGACTGCTCCTAACTTCCGAGGCCCATCACCAGCCGCCGGTTATTTCACCTGTGCTTTCGACCAAACAACCATATCAGGGTTTCTGGGACCCTTTCCTTGGGCTTAATTTGCTAGAGTGGCTCAGAGAACTCAGAGAAGCACTTACCGACATTTACTGGTTTATTATAAAGGATATTACAGGCCAGGTGCCTTGGCTCACGCCTGTAATCCCAGCACTTTGAGAGGCCGAGGCGGGCGGATCACGAGGTCAGGAGTTCGAGACCAGCCTGGCCAACATTGGTGAAACCCCGTCTCTACTAAAAATACAAAACTCAGATGGGCGTGGTGGCAGGCGCCTGTAATCTCAGCTACTAGGGAGGCTGAGGCAGGAGAATCGCTTGAACCCAGTGGTTGCAGTGAGCCGAGAGCATGCCACCACACTCCAGCCTGGGTGGCAGAGCAAGACTCTGCCTCAAAAAGAAAAAAAAAAGATATTACAAAGGATACAGATGAGGAGATGCATAAGGCAAAGTGGGGGTGAGGGGCAAAGTGGGGGTGAGGGGCAAAGCTTCCATGCCCTCTCGGGGGCCACCCTCCAGAAACTTCCACATGTTCTGCTACCCAGAAGCTCCCCAAACCCTGTCCTTTTGAGTTTTATGGAGGCCTCATTACATAGGCATGACTCATTGAATCACTGGCCGCTGGTGATCAACTAAACCTTCAGCCCTTCTCTCCCAGAAGAGGGGTGTGGGGCTGAAAGTCCCAACCCTCTGATCGTGCCTGGTTCTCTCCAGTGACCAGCCCCCATTTTGAAGCTATCTGGGGGCTGCCGGTCCCCCGTCAACTCATTAACAAAGAAAAAGACATTTATTACTTTGGAGATTCCAGAGATTTTAGGCATGTATGCCAGATAATGGGACCAAATGTTTATTTTGAGACCAAATATATTTTTATTTGTTATATTGTAAAATATATATTCAGTCTTGGAATGTCAAATATACATTTCACAGTATCACAGGATCCAAGTCTGCCTGGCTGTCAGGGTCAAGGCCCAAGTCCCAGGGCCTATGAGGCTGCTTCGGGAGCCACCACTGCCCACCCATCCTATTCAAGCAAAGCTCCCGCCCTGCCCAGCCAGGAACCCTGGCTCCTCACCTGGCTCTGCCCCAGTGCCTGTTTGAACCCTGGGCTCACTTGCTCCTGTGTGCTGGGTGTGAAGGAAACCCTTGACCACTGACCAGGAGCAAAGCAATCTGGTGGGCTGGGGTGGGATGAGGAGGTAACCATCCTAGGCTGGGCCCGCTCAGTGGGAGAGTATGCACAAGAAAAGCCCTATGACCACCCAGAAAAAAATGGGGGAGAAATCACTGCTTTGGATTGAAATCAATGACAGAGACATAACAGCAATACGTAATACATAAACCTTGACCAGATCTGGCTTTAAAACAACACAGCACTAGAAGTCATTTTGGGGCCAGGTGCGGTGGCTCATGCCTGTAATCCCAGCACTTTGGGAGGCCGAAGTGGGCAGGTCATTTGAGGTCAGGAGTTCAAGACCATCCTGGCCAACGTGGCGAAACCCTGTTTCTACTAAAAATACAAAAAATTAGCTGGGCGTGGTGGCGGGCGCCTGTAATCCCAGCTACTCAGGAGGCTGAGGCAGGAGAATCACTTGAACCCAGGAGGCGGAGGTTGCAGTGAGCTGAGATTACACCACTGCACTCCAGCCTGGGTGACAGAGCAAGACTCTGTCTCCAATAAATAAATAATAGGTAAAGAAATAAATAAAAGTCATTTTGGTGACACATGGGAAATTCAAATGAGCCTCGGATCTCATGACCCTTTCCACCAGAGCTTCTCCTAACTGCAGACACACTCCTACATCAGCACGCGGCCACCATCGCCATCTGAGGGAATGCATATTTTACTTACTTGCTTCTTTTTTTTTTGAGACAGGGTCTCGTTCTGTCACCCAGGCTGAAGTGCAGTGGCACAATCGCGGCTCACTGCAGCCTCGACTCACCCGCCCCCGGGCTCAGGCAGGTCTCTCACTTCAGCCTCCCAATAGCTGGGACGGACTACAGGCTTAAACCACCATATCCGGCTGATTTTTTTATATTTTTTGTAGACAGGGTCTCACTGTGTTACCCAGGCTGGTCTCGAACTCCTGGGCTCATGTGATCCACCCGCCTTGACCTCCCAAAGTGCTAGGATTACAGGTGAGCCACTGCACCTGCCAACCTTTGTATATTAAATTCTACAACTTGCCTTTTTCAACTCACGGTATGTTTCCAGATGGATCCAGGTAAACAACCATTGCACTGGCTTCATTCAGGGGATCTGCTTTTAGTATTGCATTGCATGAGTCATATCAGTATTTTTCCCATTTTCCTAAGAGGAATATTGCCAGTCTTTCATGATTCCAAACAATGCTACCACAAACATTTTTTGCTTGCTTTTCTTTTTCTGAGACAGAGTCTCGCTCCGTCACCCAGGCTGGAGTGCAATGGCACGATCTCGGCTCACTGCAGCCTCCACCTCCTGGGTTCAAGCAATTCTCCTGCCTCAGCCTCCCAAGAACCTGGGATTACAGGCGCCCGCCACCACACCCAGCTAATTTTTTTTTTTTTTGTATCTTTAGTGGAGACGGGGTTTCGCCAGGTTGGCCAGCCTAGGTCTCGAATTCCTGACCTCAGGTGATCCACCGGCCTCGGCCTCCCAAAGTGCTGGGATTACAGGTGTGAGCCACTGCGCCCGGCACACAAACATTTTTATATGTGTCTGAGAATTTCTCTAGAGCTGGGATCGGGGAGTGGAAGTGTCAGAGGCCACGTGCATCCTCAGCTTTACCAGATACGGCAAAATTGCTCTCCAAGGTGGTGATCGCAATTCACACTCCCACACGTCCCTGTTTCACCGCAACCTTACCAGCAATGTTGGCAGATTTTACATTTTGCTTATCTAATAGGTGGGTATAGATGATATTTAAAAAATGTAAAGTAATGTTTATTGAGCATTAATGTGGCCAGAAATTGTGCTAAGCCCTTTTTTTTTTTTTTTTTTTTTGAGACGGAGTCTTGCTCTGTCGCCCAGGCTGTAGTGCAATGGCACGATCTTGGCTCACTGCAACCTCCACCTCCCAGGTTCAAGCAATTCTCCTGCCTCAGCCTCCCGAGTAGCTGGGACTACGCGCGTGTACCACCACGCCCAGATAATTTTTGTATTTTTAGTAGAGACGGGGTTTCACCATGTTGGCCAGGCTGGTCTCCAACTCCTGACCTCAAATGATCCGCCCGCCTCGGCCTCCCAAAGTGCTGGGATTACAGGCGTGAGCCACCGCGCCCGGCAGAACCTGTGCTAAGCCCTTTACATGCATTATCTCAAATAGTCTTTGCGACAATCCTGTGAAGTAGGTAGTTCCCCACGCTGACTGCAGAGAAGGGAAACTGAAGCTCAGGCCCGAGCACCTTGCTCAGGCTATGCGGCAAATCCACGGTGAAGCTGCCACTGAACCCTGGCTGCCAGAGCCACAGCCTGCCTCTTACCAGTACACGCTTGTTCCTCATAGTTTCAGGGTTTTTGTTCTGGAGACAGGCCGGAGTGCAGTGGTGCAATCACGGCTCCCTACAGCCTCGGCCTCCGGGCCCAAGTGGTCCTCCTGCCTCAGCCTCCCAAGTAGCTGAGACTACAGGCAGGCACCACCATGCCCAGACAGTTTTTGGTTTTTTTTGAGTTGGGGGGGTCTCACTATGTTGCCCAGGGTGGTCTTGAACTCCTGGCCTCAAGAAATCCTCCAGCTTCAGCCTCCCTAAGTGTTGAGATTACAGGCGTGAGCCACGGTGCCAGGCCCAGTTTTTTCTTTGTTATTTTTTGTTTCCAAATGTTCTATATTGAACATGTGTTACTTCCATAAGGAACAAAAGAGCCTTAATATGCTTTATTTTAAAATTGTCTTTTTTTTTTTTTTTTGAGACGGAGTCTCGCTCTGTCGCCCAGGCTGGAGTGCAGTGGCGCCATCTCGGTTCACTGCAAGCTCCGCCTCCCGGGTTCACGCCATTCTCCTGCCTCAGCCTCCTGAGTAGCTGGGACTACAGGCGCCCGCCTCCTCGCCTGGCTAATTTTTTCTATTTTTTAGTAGAGACAGGGTTTCACCGTGTTAGCCAGGATGGTCTCAATCTCCTGACCTCGTGATCCGCCCGCCTCGGCCTCCCAAAGTGCTGGGATTACAGGCGTGAGCCACCGTGCCCGGCCACTAAAATTGTCTTTAAGTCCACCCTCCCCCTGGGCAATGGAGCAGGGAGAGGCCCAGTGAGGCGTGAGGCTGGGGTTCCGTGGACCCCACAGACCAGCCCGATGCCCACAGCCTCTCTCACACCTTCTCTCTTTCTCCTGCATGCCCTTCTGAAAGAGAAAGGAGTTCCTCTCCTGACGGTGGGGTGGGGTGGGCTGCCATGGCCGTCTCTGGGGCCCATCTCAGATTGCCTGGAAGCCCCTCAGTCTGAAGGCCTCTTGCCCACCGGCCCTACTCACCAGGTCTGGTTGGTGCTGGGGTCTTGGTGCAGAAGGGAGCTGAGCACGAAAGGGGCACCTCCCTTGGGCGTGAGCCAGGGCCGGGCCACATCCACATTGAAAGCGGCCAGCAGGGCCAGGCCTGTAGGGAAAAGAGGAGCGTTTAATGAAAGAGGCCTTTTACTCCCGTTATTCCAGCAAATCCTGTGGTGTCATGAACCCCGTTTTACAGCTGAGAAAAGTGAGACTGCCCAGGGATCTTTATGTGTGTGTGAGAGAGAAAGACTAGACGCAGGTGTATCTGACCCAGAGCCTCTGATCCTCCTACTAAACCAAGCTGTACCAGTACCCGAGCCCCCCTCCTCCAAGAAGCCGCCCCTAGCTCTCCCCAAAGAAGCACTTCCCACCTCCTCACGCCTCTTACTGTCATTTCTGCACCTGACACACAGCGTGTACTCACGTCACTGCGTCTTGTACTGAAGTTACAGTAGACTGTGAGCCCCAGGAAGAGGGCCTGTGTATGTTCTATGTACCCCCTTCAAGCGACCCACGAGAAAACGTATCCCCAAAACTGCCTGCACAAGAATGTTTTATACCAGCTTTATTCGGAAGAGCCCCAAACTGCAAACAACCCAAATGTCCATCAACAGGAGACTGGAAAAGCCCACTGTGGTATATTCCTACAGTAGAATCCTACTCAGGAGTAAAGAGGAGTCAACAACAGATACAGCAGCGTGATGAATCCCAAAAATCATTATGCTGGCCGCGCGCCAGTGGCTCATGCCTGTAATCCCAGCACTTTGGGAGGCCGAGGCGGCTGGATCACTTGAGGTCAGGAGTTCGAGACCAGCCTGGCCAACATGATGAAACCCTGTCTCTACGAAAAACGCAAAAATTAGCTGGGCGCGGTGGCACGTTCCTGTAATCCCAGCTACTCAGAAGGCTGAGGCAGGAGAATTGCTTAAACCTGGGAGGCAGAGGTTGCAGTGAGCCGAGATTGCACCGCTGCACTCCAGCCTGAGCAACAGAGCAAGACTCCGTCTCAAAACAACAACAACAAATATCATTATGCTGAGTGACAGAAGCCTTAGGTCTTCCTTCTTTCTTCTCATTTATGTGTGATTTTTTTTATTTACAGCAGAATAGGCTCATGAATTCTATTTTATTCAATGGTTATAATCTGTTATCACTATATTGGTTCTCAAAGTGTCCCTTATTTGGCCTTTCCATGAAGAAATCATTGGTACTGGACTAATTCTTTCACCATAAACAACTAGAATACTGGACAAAACCTATAAAATGTTTTCAGACATTTGACAATGGGCAGAGCAGGACAGTGATCTCTAGAAAACATGGACAAATAACACGAGCCCTGTCGTTACCCTCAGCTTTCTTTCTGGAGGAATTTTATGACCCTGATGTAGGGAAAGGGAATTCAAACAGAGCACAGCAGATTTGTTAAGCTAAGGCAATAAAAATCATATTGTATAACTCCATTTATATGAGGTTCTAGAACCAGCAAAACTAACCTATAGTAAAAAAAAAAAAATGCTTGAGAGGATGGGACTAACTGGGAAGGGACTAGAAGGAACTTTCTGGAATGATGAAAATATTCTATATCTTGATAGGTGTTTGAATTACCAAGGTGTGCATGTGTCAGAACACACGCAATGAATGGTCCACTTAGAATTTGTGCATGTCACTGTATGTAAATATTACCTTAAAGAAGAAGCACAAACACATTTTGTTGATATGTATGCTGAAATGTTTAGAGTTGAATTATACTTAAGTCAGCAATTTATTTTTATTAATTTCTTTTTTTTTTTTGAGATGGGGTCTTGCTCTGTCGCCCAGGCTGGAGTGCAGTGGTGCAATCTTGGCTCACTACAACTTCTGTGTCCCGGGTTCAAGCGATTCTCCTGTCTCAGCCTCCCACATAGCTGGGATTACAGGCGCCTGCCACCATGCCCGGCTAATTTTTTGTATTTTTAGTAGAGACAGGGTTTCACAATGTTGACCGAGCTGGTTTCGAACTCCTGACCTCAAGTGATCCACCTGCCTTGGCCTCCCAAAGTGCTGGGATTACAGGTGTGAGCCACCACATCCAGCGTGCAATTTACTTTAAAATGCATCAAAATATAAGATGGCTTGCTGGATGGGTAGATAGATATACGTGATAAAAGAAACACTCAAAAGTGTTGACAATTGTCAAATTTAAGTGTAGTGATGTGGTTGTCCACCATATAATTTTTCAACTTTTCTATATATTTGAAATTTTTCATTTAAAATTTTTTGGGGAAAAATAGATATCGATAGATTACCTCCCAAAGAGGTTTTGCCAATTCATACTCCAACGACAGCATGGGAGAAGGTTTATCTCCCCCAGTGTTGCCTGGACTGACTGTGAAGACATTTTCATCCTTGTTTTAAGAGTATATCATCATCTTGTTCCAAAATTATTATTATTTTTTTAAGATGGAGTTTCGCTCTTGTTGCCCAGGCTGGAGTGCAGTGGCACGATCTCGGCTCACCGCAACCTCTGCCTCCCAGGTTCAAGCGATTCTCCTGCCTCAGCCTCCCGAGTAGCTGGGATTACAGGCATGTGCCACCATGCCCGGCTAATTTTTGGTTTTTTTGTTTGTTTGTTTATTTGTTTTTTTTTTTTTTTTGGAAATGGAGTCACACTCTGTCACCCAGGCTGGAGCGCAGAGGCGAGATCTCAGCTCACTGCAAGCTTTGCCTCCCAGGTTCACACCATTCTCCTGCCTCAGCCTCCTGAGTAGCTGTGACTACAGGCGCCTGCCCGGCTAATTTTTTGTATTTTTAGTAGAGAGGGGGTTTCACCGTGTTAAGCCAGGTTGGTCTCGATCTCCTGACCTCGTGATCCGCCCACCTCGGCCTCCCAAAGTGCTGGGATTACAGGCGTGAGCCACCGCGCCTGGCCTAATTTTGTATTTTTAGTAGAGATGGGGTTTCTCCATGTTGGTCAGGCTAGTTTCGAACTCCTGACCTCAGCTGATCCGCCCACCTCGGCCTCCCAAAGTGCTGGGATTACAGGCGTGAGCCACTGCACCCGGCCAATTTTTGTATTTTCAGTAGAGACGGAGTTTCTCCATTTTGGTTAAGCTGGTCTCGAACTCCCGACTTCAGATGATCCGCCCGCCTCAGCCTCCCAAATATTTTTTACTTTTTATTTTATTGAGACAAGATCTCACTCTGTTGCCCTGGCTGGAGTGCAGTGGCATGATCATGGTTCCCTACAGTCTTTACCTCCAGGGCTCAATCCATCCTCCCGCCTCAGCCTCTCAAGTAGCTGGGACCACAGATGCGCACCAGCAGGCCTGGCTAATTTTTAAAAAATTTTTTGTAGAGATGGTGTCTCACTATGTTGCCCAGGCTGGTCTCCAACTCCTGGGCTCAAGTAATCCTGCCATCTCAGCCTCCCCAAGTGCTGGGATTATAGGCGTCAGCCAACAAGCTCAGCCCCAAAACTATTTTTAAATTATGAGTGAGGTCAAGTCTCTTTTTGTAAGTTTGTTTACTGCCTACTCATGTACATTATTCATTTTCATGAAACGATATTACTTTCTTATTTATTTGTAAGAGCTTTTCTCTATCCAAGAGAAACAGGCAATGTGTTATAGATGCCGCTTCTCACGCAGCTGTTTGTCTTGCATATGCTGTTTTCCCCCACAACTACGTTTTTTGATGTTGTCATATTGTTTTTCCTTTATGACTTCAGCTTCGGGTCATGCTCCTCCACTCAGGCTATTTCTTTTCATCCACTCATGTTTCCTTCTATATTTTTTTTCTTCTTTCATTTCTTTTTTCTTTCTTTCTTTTTTTTTTGAGATAAAGTCTCGCTGAGCCGCCCAGGCTGGAGTGCAGTGGCGCTATCTCGGCTCACTGCAACCACCATCTCCCGGGTTCAAGGGATTCTCCCATCTGAGCCTCTTAAGCCTCCCAAATAGCTGGGATTACAGGCACCCGCCATCATGCCCGGCTAATATTGTATTTTAGTAGAGACGGGGTTTCACCACGTTGGCCAGGATGGTCTTGAACTCCTGACCTCAGGTGATCCGCCCGCCTCAGCCTCCCAAAGTGCTGGGATTACAGGCGTGAGCCAAGGCCCGGTCTCTTCTTTAATTTCTTATGTTCGAACCTTTTGTCCATCTGGATTTTATTTTTACATTTGGAGTGAAATAGGGATACAACTTTACTTTTTTCCCACAGTTGAAATGTCTCATCATTATTTGTTGAGTAGCTCCTCTTAACCCATAGTTTGGAAATGCTACCTTTATCATCCTCAGAATTCACATGCACATTTGGGCCTCTGTCAGGACTCAGCTCTGCCCCACTGACCTCATCGTCTTTTGCTTGGACACGTTAGTCTCCTGGCCTCTTTCAAGACTTGTACTTCTGGATACATCCTCTCCACATCAGATGCTAGAAAGATTTTTTAAAAGCATGGTCTGGGCCGGGTGCGGTGGCTCATGCCTATAATCCCAACATTTTGGGAGGCTGAGGCGGTGGATCACCTGAGGTCAGGAGTTTGAGACCAGCCTGACCAATGTGGTGAAACACTGTCTCTACTAAAAATACAAAAATTAGCCGGGCATGGTGGCGGGTGCCTATAATCCCAGCTACTCGGGAGGCTGACAAGGGAGAATCGCTTGAACCTGGGAGGCACAGGTTGCGGTGAACTGACATCGCGCCATTGCACTCCAGCCCGGGTGAGAGAGTGAGACTCGGCCTCAAAAAAAAAAAAAAAAAAAAAAAAAAAGCATGGTCTGACCATGCCACTCCATTGCTTAAATCTCTAGTGTGTGTGTGTGTGTGTGTGTGTGTGTGTACTTTTTTTTTTTTGAGATGGAGTTTCGCTCTTGTCGCCCGAGCTAGAGTACAATGGTGCAATCTCAGCTCACTGACACCTTCGCCTCCCAGGATCAAGCGATTCTCCTGCCTCAGCCTCCCAAGTAGCCGGGATTACAGGTACACACCACCACCCCCAGCTAATTTTTGTATTTTTAGTAGAGATAGGTTTTCACCGTGTTGGCCAGGCTGGTCTCGAACTCCTGACCTCAGGTGATTCAGCCGTTCAACGTGCTGGGATTACAGGTGTGAGCCACTGCTCCCATCTCTAATCTACATTTACATGGGAAAAAAGCAAGGTGAAGTCCAGTTTACAGACTTACCTGTTCAATTACTGTTCAATTAACGACTTTTGCCATAAACACTCTTGAAAAGCTATACAACTTCTTGGCAACACTCCTTTTTTTGGTTTAGTGACTTTTTCGTCTCTAAATACACTGAGTAAACACGATATAAGGAATGACATTTGACATCGCACTCTCACGGGAAGACACACTCACCCATTTACTTACTATGTAACAGTTTCTAGTCCAACAATATCATATGGAACAAATCTGCGTTGCATGTCATGTTTGGATAAATCCCATATGCCTGCTTTTGCTGATGTATGTCGATTGAGATGGCTGAAGATTCTATGATTCTGAAGTCGATGAGCGCACAGCCTATTTCCATGTGTTTGGAAGTGCTTTTGGGTTCAGTATTTATTTTGCCCTCAAGGTGTTTCTCTGTAACTTTTGCTATGACTTTATTTTTTATTTTTATTTTTTTGAGATGGAGTCTCACTCTGTCGCCCAAGCTGGAGTGCGGTGGCGCGATCTTGGCTCACCGCAACCTCTGGCTCTTGGGTTCAAGCAATTCTCCTGCCTCAGTCTCCGGAGTAGCTGGGATTACAGGCGCCCGCCACCATGCCCAGCTAAGTTTTGTATTATTAGTAGAGACGAGGTTTCACCATGTTGGCCAGGCTGGTCTCATACTCGTCCTGACCTCAAGAGATCCGCCCGCCTCAGCCTCCCAAAGTGCTGGGATTACAGGCGTGAGCCACCGCGCCTAGCCCCCACTGTCAAATCTTGTCTTCTCCTTTTAATGAGGCCAATAAACCTTCATGACAATACATTTTATACGGAAACTGTATTTTTATATTCAAAGTATTGTTTTTATTTATCTAAACTTGTTTTATTGGTCAATTAATACATTTTCCTAACAGTAAAAGTCATTTGAGTATCTTTGGTTGGCTGGAATGCATCACAATTTTTTTAATGAAATTGATGCAAATATTTTTTCCAATTAATGGCTGTTTACTCAGCAGTAGATTTCAGGAAGAAATTAAAATCACTACATGAAGGACAAGTGTATAAACGACACTAGCTTCTGTATAAGGAAGGGAAGGAGATATATGCACACAAATATGTTGTTTTTGATTCACTAGGAAGATGTGACAATTTTAAATCTGTATTTATCCAATAACATCATTTCAAAATATAAAAGCAAAAATTGACTGAATTAAAAGGAAAAATACAAAACACTACAATGAAAGTGGGAGACTTTAACACTTTAATTAAGCCTTTTACGTCAACTATAAAAGCAGACCAGCGGGGCGCGGCGGCTCACGCCTGTAATCCCAGCACTTTGGGAGGCCGAGGCGGGCGGATCACGAGGTCAGGAGATCAAGACCATCCTGGCTAACACGGTGAAACCCCGTCTCTACTAAAAATACAAAAAATTAGCCGGGCGTGGTGGCGGGCGCCTGTAGTCCCAGCTACTCGGGAGGTTGAGGCAGGAGAATGGCGTGAACCCGGGAGGCGGAGCTTGCAGTGAGCCGAGATTGCGCCACTGCACTCCCGCCTGGGCAACAGAGCAAGACTCCATCTCAAAAAAATAAAATAAAATAAAAAAATAAAAATAAAAGCAGACCAAAAATTGAGCAAGGATATAGAAGATATGAACAACATAATTAGCAAAGTTGACCTGACAGACAAAACTCTGTACCCAACAATGGAAAAAGAAACATTTTTCTTTTTTTTTTGAGACGGAGTCTGGCTCTGTCACCAGGCTGGAGTGCAGTGGTGCAATCTTGGCTGACTGCAACCTCCGCTTCCCAGGTTCAAGCGATTCTTCTGCCTCAGCCTCCCGAGTAGCTGGAACTACAGGCACGCGCCACCATGCCCGCCTAATTTTTGTATTTTTAGTAGAGACGGGGTTTCACCATGTTGGCCAGGATGGTCTCAATCTCTTGACCTCGTGATCCACCCACCTCAGCCTCCTAAAGTGCTGGGATTACAGGCGTGAGCCACCGCACCCTCAGAAACATTATTTTCAAGTACACGTGAAACATTTACCAAAATTGACCATATGCTAGATCACAAAGCTAAAGCCTCAATAAATATCAATGAATTGAAATAACTCAGAATATGTTCTCTGACTATACTAGAATCTAAACCAATAACAAAAAGAAAACTAGAGGTCCAGCACAGTGGCTCGTGCCTGTCATCCTAGCCCTGTGGAAGACTGAGGCAGGCAGATTGCTTAAGCTCAGGAGTTCAAGACCAGCCTGGGCAACATGGCTGGTATCTAACAAAAATACCAAACTCCATCTCTACCAAAAATACAAAAAATTAGCCAGGAATGGTGGCATGCACCTATGGTCCCAGCTACTCAGGAGGCTGAGGTGGGAGGACTGCTTGAGCCCAGGAGGTGGAGGTTGCAGTGAGCCAAGATTGTATCACTGCACTCCAGCCTGGGTGACAGAACAAGACCCCATGTAAAAAAAAGAAAAAAGAAAGAAAGGGAAGAAAAGATGGCCGGACATGGTGGCTCATGCCTGCAACCCCAGCACTTTGGGAGGCCGAGGCAGGCGGATCACTTGAGGTCAGGAGTTCAAAACCACCCTGGCCAACATGGTGAAGCCCCATCTCTACTAAAAACACAAAAATCAGGCAGGCATGCTGACAGCCACCTGTAATCCCAACCACTTGGGAGGCTGAGACAGGAGAATCACTTGAACCAGGGAGGTGGAGGTTGCAGTGAGCCGAGATCGTGCCATTGCACTCCAGCCTAGGCACAGAGTGAGACTTGGGAAAGAAGAAAGAAAGGAAGGAAGGAAGGAAGGAGGAAGGAAGGAAGGAAGGAAGGAAGGAAGGAAGGAAGGAAGGAAGGAAGGAAGGAAGGAAAACTAGAAAAATCTGAACCTCGTGAAAATTAAGCAATGCATTTCTAAATAACCCAGGGTGAAAGATAAAATTACAGTGGAATAGCAAATCAGACCTAAAGGAAGTACGGGAAGGAATAAAGATATGAACACGTATCAATGAAACAGCAAACCAACTTACAGTAGAGAAAACTAATGATGCTGAAGTTTTTTTTAAAGATTTTTAAAATGATAAATCACTAGCAATACTGAACAAGAAAAAAAAAAGAGAACACACAAATTACCAACATGAATAAAAAATAGAAAGGGGGGACATCATAATAGATCCTAAGACATTTAAAAAATAGAGGGGCCAGGCGAGGTGGCTGACTCCTGTAATCCCAGAACTTTGGGAGGCCGAGGCGGGCGGATCACGAGGCCAGGAGATCGAGACCGTCCTGGCTAACACGGTGAAACCCCGTCTCTACTGAAAATACAAAAAATTAGCCGGGCGTGGTGGCGGGCGCCTGTAGTCCCAGCTACTCGGGAGGCTGAGGCAGGAGAATGGCGTGAACCCGGGAGGCGGAGCTTGCAGTGAGCCGAGATCGCGCCACTGCACTCCAGCCTGGGTGACAGAGAGAGACTCCATCTCAAAAAAAAAAAAAAAAAAAAGTAAGAGGATGTTATATCCAACCTTATGCCAGTAAACTTGACAATCTGGGTGAAATGAACAAATTCCTTGAAATAGAAATGCACCAAAACTAACAAAAAAAGAAATGTATCACCTGAGTAAGATATTTTACTCATGACTAAAAATCTTAGGGAGATCTCTACGCCCAGATAGCTTCACTGACGAATTTTTCCAAACATTTAAAGAGAAATAATGCCAAGTTTATATAAACTGTTTTAGAGAATAGAAAATGAGAAAACATTTTTCAGTCATTTTATGAAGCCAGTATAACATTGATATTAAAATCCAGCAAGCACAATAAATGAAAGGAAAATTGAAACAACCGTCTCTCTCGAACATAAATACAAAAATGCTGCACAAAATTCCAGTAAATCAAATCCAGGGAATTATAAAAAGCATAATACGGCCGGGTGCAGTGGCTCATGCCTGTAATCCCAGCACTTTGGGAGGCCAAGGCCAGCGGATCACGAGGTCAAGAGATTGAGACTATCCTGGCCAACATGGTGAAACTCCATCTCTACTAAAAATGCAAAAATTAGCTGGGCGTGGTGGCGCACACCTGTAGTCCCAGCTACTCGGGAGGCTGAGGCAGGAGGATCACTTGAACCCGGGAGGCGGAGGTTGCAGTCAGCCAAGATTGCGCCACTGCACTCCAGCCTGGTGACAGAGCGAGACTCCATCTCAAAAAAAAAAAAAAAAAAAAAGCATGATACATCAAAACAAGCAGAGTTCATTTCGGAAATGGAAGAGTGGTTTGACATTTAAAATAATCAGTTTACTCCTTACAACAGGAAATAAAGGATTAAAAATCATATGATTATGATAGATGCAGAAAATGGCATCTGATAAAATCCAAGACTAATTTCTGATAAAAAGTCCTAGCAAACCAGGAATCAGAGGGAATTTTTTTTTCCTTTTTTTTTTGAGATGGAGTCTCACTCTGTCGCCCAGGCTGGAGTGCAGTGGTGTGATCTCGGCTCACTACAACCTCCGCCTCCCTGGTTCAAGCGATTCTCCTGCCTCAGCCTCCCAAGTAGCTGGGATTACAGGCATGTGCCACCACACCCGCCTAAGTTTTGTATTTTTATTAGAGACAGGGTTTCCCCATGTTGGCCAGGCTGGTCTTGAACTCCTGACCTCAGGTGATCCGCCCACCTCAGCCTCCCAAAGTGCTGGGATTACAGGCATGAGCCACCATGCCCGGCTGTGAATTTCTTTAATCTGATGAAGAATTAAAGCGGTGGGGTCTAGCTATGTTGCCCAGGCTGATTTCATACACCGGCCTTAAGCAATCCTCCCGCCCTGGCATACCAAAGCCCTGGGTTTCCAGGTGTGAGCCACTGTGTCTGGCCTGCTATGAGTGTCTTGCAGACGTCTTCATGACCATATGAACACATTCCTGTTGGGCATATGTCTAACCGTGGAACTTCTGGATCCTGTTAAGCATATGTTCAGCTTTAGTGGATACTGACAAATGGTTTTCTCTTTTTTTTTTTTTTTGAGAGGGAGTTTTGCTCCGTCGCCCAGGCTGGAGTGCCATGGCACAATCTCAGCTCACTGCAATCTCCACCTCTCGAGTTCAAGTGATTCTCCTGCCTCAGCCTCCTGAGTACCTGGAATTACAGATGCCCGCCACCACGCCCGGGTAATTTTTGTATTTTTAGTAGAGATGGGCTTTTCGCCATGTTGGCCAGGCTGCTCTCGAACTCCTGACCTCAGGTGATCCACCCGTCTTGGCCTCCCAAAGTGCTGGGATTACAGGTGTGAGCCACCACACCTGGTTTTAATTTGCCTTTCTCTGACGTCTGAAGTCTCCTTACAAGATTCCTGACTATTTTGATAATCTCTTTTGTGAAATGTCCTTTTTCTGTTTGTGGACATGCCTTTTTCTTATTGATTTGTAGAAATTCTTTACATATTCTGAAGTTAATCTTTTATCAATTTGTGTTGCAATTATTTTCTTATTCTGTGGTTTGCCTTTTCACTCACTTACTTTTTTTTTTTTTTGATAAACAGATGTTCTTAAGTTTAATGAAGTTCAAAAAAAATTTTTTTAGCCCCCAAGGTTGTACACAGTATGTTTTCTTTCTTTTTTGCTTTTTGAGACTGGCTGTCACTCTTTTGCCCAGCCTGGAGTGCAGTGGTGTGATCACAGTTCACTGCAGCCTCAACTTCCTGGGCTCAAGTGGTTTTCCTGCCTCAGCCTTTCGAGTAGCTGGGACTATAGGCCTGTGCCACCAGACCTGACTAATTTTTTTTTTTTTTTTTTTTTTTGGTAGAGGCGAGGTTTCACTGTGTTGTTCAAGCTGGTCTTGAACTCCTAGGTTCAGGTGATCCTCCCACCTTGGGCTCCCAAAGTGCTGAGATTACAGGTGTGAGCCACTGTGCCCAGCCTGTTCTGTTTCTTGATACGGGTGTGACTTAATATGAACATTTACTGATCTAAATTTGTCCATTTTTCTGTATGTTGTACTTTTAAAAAGTCTACATTAAAAATAATAATTATTAAAATAATTATTTAAAAATAATAATTATTAAAATAATTATTTAAAAATAATAATTATTAAAATAATTATTTAAAAATAATAATTATTAAAATAATTATTTAAAAATAATAATTATTAAAATAATTATTTAAAAATAATAATTATAATTAAAATATTTTTTAGAATAAGAATTACAAGTATGTGAAACACACTGAATATATAAAACTTTCATAAGTTCATGATATTTACAAGAGAGAGAAAAATAAAAACAAAAGAAATCAAGGTGACTCACGCCTGTAATCCCAGCACTTTGGGAGGCTGAGGTGGGAGGATCACTTACACTCGGGAGCTCAAGACCAACCTGGGCAATACAGTGAGACTCCGTTTCTACAAAAAAATTAAAAAATTAGCTGCACACAGTGGAGCCTGCCTGTGGTCCTAGCTACTTGGGAGGCTGAGGTGGGAGAATCACTTGAGCCCAGGAAGTTGAGGCTGCAGTGAGCCTTGATCACACCACAGCACTCCAGCCTGAGTGACAAAGCAAGACTGTCTCCAAAAAAAAGAAACGAAAAAGAAAATTTGCTACCAATGGAAGTAAAAAGGGCACCATCTCTTTACTCTGAAAACTGACTGTTAGGAAAAGTATTAAGCATTTTTCTTGCCTTTCCTACATGAAGTGCATTTCAGGGCCATCAAATCATCCTGGTTAATGAGAAAAAGTACTTCTTGTCTTTTAAGTTTTCCTTCCTTCCTTCCTTCCTCCCCCCTCCCTCCCTCCCTCCCTTCCCTCTCTCTCTTTCCTTCTTTTTTTTTGTTTTTTGTTTTTTGAGATGGAGTCTCGCTCTGTCACCCAGGCTGGAGTGCAGTGGTGCAATCTCGGCTCACTGCAACCTCTGCCTCCCAGGTTCAAGCGATTCTCCTGCCTCAACCTCCCCTGTAGCTGGGATTGCAGGCATGTGCCACCACACCCAGATCAATTTTGTATTTTTTGTAGAGATGGAGTTTCACTCTGTTGGCCAGGCTGGTCTTGAACTCCTGATCTCAAGTAATCTGCCCCCACTTGGCCTCTCAAATGCTGGGATTTCAGGCGTGAGCCACCTCACCCAGCCTTAAATTTATTTTTCATTTGTTCATCTGGCCCTTATAAAAATGGCATGAAAAACGTCTTTTTTATGGATAAATTATTACTAATAAATGTAGGAAGAATAATAGAACCAAACTATTTTGTGAGCCCTAATGAAATACAATAATTAATTCAGGCCAGGATCATCAACAGGTAAAGCTTCTAAATGAGAGTCTGATAGACTAACTTTACAATTAGGCTGACACCACCTGAGCCCACTAGTCAATCTTAGCATCCCTAGGAGTGGGCCTCTCAGGCATGTCCTTCTTGGTGTGACACTCTAGGAAGGATCTAAGGGCCCAAGACTACATTTCCAACAAGATTCTAAGGGACACCCACACTGCAGGTCTTCAGACCACATTCTGAGTACCAAGGCTTTAAAACACTTCAGCAAAGAAAAGAAAAAGAAGGGCCAGGCACAGTGGCTCAGGCCTGTAATCCCAGCATTTTGGGAGGCCGACATGGGTGGATCACCTGAGGTCAGGAGTTCAAGACCAGCCCAGCCAACACAGTGAAACCCTATCTCTACTAAAAATACAAAAATTAGCTGGGCGTAGTGGCGCATGCCTGTAGTCCTAGCTGCTTGGGAGGCTGAGGCAGGAGACTCGCTTGAACCTGGGAGGCGGAGGTTGCAGTGAGCCGAGATCGCACCACTGCACTCCAGCCTGGTGATAGAGCAAGACTCCGTCTCAAACAAACACACACACACACACACACAAAAGAAAAAGAGGTGAAATAACTGCAGGAAGTGGGGCAAAATCCTCACAACTGCTTAGAGTGTGCTCGCCACAGAACTGAAACCTGACGTTAAACTTCCAGTTTTCAGGCAGTTTGGGGAATAAAAAGACAAATCACACCAAGAGGAAGCAAACACACAAATCCTGAACATAGATATTCTGCAACACACGTGACCAAACTCTGCCATAAATCAAAGGCATGAAAGCAGAAAATGGGGATGGGGGTGCACTCCAGACGGAGAGCCACAGCAACCGCATGTCATGTGCGGACCTTGTTTGGATCTTGCTTTGAACAAACCAACTGTTAAAAAGACATTTGGAGGCCGGGCATGGTGGCTCACGCCTGTAATCCCAGCACTTTGGGAGGCCAAGGCAGGCAGATCACGAGGTCAGGAGATCGAGACCGTCCTGGCTAACACGGTGAAACCCCTTCTCTACTAAAACTACAAAAAAATTAGCCAGGCGTGGTGGTGGGCGCCTCTAGTCCCAGCTACTTGGGAGGCTGAGGCAGGAGAATGGCGTGAACCCAGGAGGCAGAGCTTGCAGTGAGCAGAGATCGCGCCACTGCACTCCAGCCTGGGCGACAGAGCGAGACTCTGTCTCAAAAAAAAAAAAAAAAAAGACATTTTGAGACAGAGAGATTTGTATATGGACTAAGTATTTGGTATTAGATGATACCAAAGAATTAATTTAGTTAGGTGGTAAGAACATTGTGGCTATTTAAGAAAATGTCCACGTTCTTTATTATTGAGACTGAGTCGTACTCTGTTGCCCAGGCTGGAGTGCAGTGGTGCGATCTCAGCTCACTACAACCTCTGTCTCCCGGATTCAAGTGATTCTCCTGCCTCAGCCTCCTGAGTAGCTGGGATTACAGGGGTGTGCCAACATGCCTGGCTAATTTTTGTACTTTTAGTAGAGATGGGGTTTCGCCATGTTGGCCAGGCTGATTTCAAACTCCTGACCTCAGGTGATCCACCAGCCTCAGCCTCCCAAAGTGCTGGGATTACAGGTGTGAGCCACCACGCCCGGCCCTTCATGTTCTTTAGAAATGAAAATGTCCATGTTTTTTGGGAGTGAAATGACACGATGTTTGGGGTTTAAAATACTGTTTCTGAAACATTAGCGTGCAAATGAGTCATCGGAGATCTTGTTAAAATGCAGATTCTGACTCAGCAGATAATGAATCAGAATGGGGCTGGGAGTCTGTTCCAACAAGCTCCCAGACGATGCTCTCACTGCTGGTCCTCAGGTCACATTTTGAGCAGCCAGGCTTTAAATACCTTGACAACAAAAATGAAAAGGGGAACACAAAATACATTCAGCTTGTGTGGCAGGATCTTGATCATTGTGTCATCCGCTTGATGGACATATTGGCTTTGTTATAGTTATCTCGTTTACCTGTGTACATGCTTAAAATTTTATTATCCAAAAATCAACCTTCCAGACTTGAGGAGGAGGAGGAACCTGGGGAGATGGCTCTGAGGCCAGGCTCTGGATCTCTCATCCCTGCATTTAAGGCCATTTCCCTGAGTCTGGCACAAAGTAGATATCTATATTTAATTTTATTTTATTTATGTATTTATTTTTTGAGATGGAGTCTGGCCCTGTTGCCCAGGCTGGAGGGCAGTGGCGCGATCTCGGCTCACTGCAGCCTCTGCCTCCCGGGTTCAAGCGATTCTCCTGCCTCGGCCTCCTGAGTAGCTGGGATTATAGGCACGCACCACCACACCTGGATAATTTTTGTATTTTTAGTAGAGGTGGGGTTTCACCATATTGCCCAGGCTGGTATTGAACTCCTCAGGTGATCCGCCCGCCTTGGCCTCCCAAAGTGCTGGGATTACACGCGTGAGCCACCGCGCCCGGCCTGATATCTATATTTTATTCCTTTTTCTTCACATCTCTGCCTCGCCTGGAATGATTTGTGGTGATTCATAAAAATACATAATACAGGTAAGATAAAACTCGCTTAAAATAATGGGGCAGGCAAAAAAGAACAGAAGGAAAATGATGGTTTAAAAAAAGAGGGGGATACAACAAGCCAGGAAGGAGGCCAACAGCTAACATGTAGATCACGCAGTGCCAGCACTTTCTATCACGTGCCCCACTGTTGGCTCTGAACACAGCGCTGGCTCACAGAAGTGTTCCTAAAATCCTTTGGCTTAATAAAATCATTTGTTGATTCAACGCATACATGAATGAATGAAGCTTTCTTGAAGGTGATATCAACATGAAAAAGATCAGTTAATGCCATGCGGTGTCCACAAAATTCAAAAAACAAAACACTTCCAGGCAAAGCACAACCAGTCTGGTTATTCAAATCAGAGAAAAAACTGTCCCTAAGGGTCCTTTGTGAGAACACAATGAAGAAACCCTGCACCCCAGCTTTTGCAGACCTGTGATTTGTGTCCTCCCTGCCAATGCCCCAAAGTAGAAAACACAGGAAACATAACCAGACCAGACGTTCTTGTTTGGGGGTAATGGATCCCTTTGAGAATCTTTTTCTTTTTTCTTTTTTTTTTAGACAGAGTCTCACTCTGTCGCCCAGGCTGGAATGCAGTGGCACAACTTTCGTCTCACTGCAACCTCCGCCTCCCGGGTTCAAGCGATTCTCCTGCCTCAGCCTCCTGAGTAGCTGGGAAAACAGGTGCCCATCACCATGCCCAGCTAATTTTTTGTATTTTTAGTAGAGATGGGGTTTCGCCATATTGGCCAGGCTGGTCTCCATCTCCTGACGTCCTGATCCACCTGCCTCAGCCTCCAAAGTGCTGGGATTACAGGTGTGAGCCATCATGCCCGGCCTTTTTTTCTTCATTTTGAGTTGGAGTCTCACTCTGTCACCCAGGCTGGACTGCAATGGTGTGATCTTGGCTCACCGCAACCCCCACCTCCTCAGTTCAAGTGATTCTCCTGTCTCACGTGGGCCCTGGGGCCGGAGCCCAGACTCCCTACTGGGCATCCCTTATCTCAGCTCTGGATTCGTGGGGGAGCAGCAGGAACAGTACAGCCTTCTTCCCTGCCTAGGGGTCTTGATCTGGAACCTTTGAGAGTCTATGTAGGCTGTAAGTGGCCACTCTCCCAGCACCTACCGAGTGTAGGCCAGGACTCAAAATACTGGGTCTCTGGAGTAGCTGGGACTACAGGCACATGCCAGCACTCCTGGCTAATTTTTGTATTTTTAGTAGAGATGTGGTTTCACCGTGTTAGCCGGGATGGTCTCGAACTCCTGGCCTCGTGATCCACCACCTTGGCCTCCCAAAGTGCTGGGATTACAGGTGTGAGCCACTGCACCTGGCCCCCTTTGAGAATCTGATGGAAGCATTGGAGCCCTTCCTGATCCCCTGAGTGCACATGTGTACAAAATCCTCCCCTTGCCTGATTGAAGTGCTCTGTCCTCAGCCTGTCTCCTGGCTTCCTCTTCATCCTTTTTTTTTTTTTTTTTTTTTTGAGATGGAGTCTTGCTATTGTCGCCCAGGCTGGAGTGCAATGGCACGATCTCGGCTCATTGCAACCTCCGCCTCCTGGGTTCAAGCGATTCTCCTGCCTAAGCCTCCCAAGTAGCTGGGATTACAGGCACCTGCCACCACACCGGACTAATTTTTGTATTTTTAGTAGAGACGGGGTTTTGCCATGTTGGTCAGGCTGGTCTTGAACTCCTGACCTTGTGATCCGCCCGCCTCGGCCTCCTAAAGTGCTGGAATTACAGGCGTGAGCCACCGTGCCTGGCCTCTAATTTTTTTTTAAATTTTTTGTAGAGATGGGGGTCTTGCTATGTTGTCCAGGCTGGACTCAAATTCCTGGGCTCAAGTGATCCTCCAGTCTTGGCCTCCCTAAGTGCTGGGATTACAGGAGTGAGCCACTGTGCTTGGCCTTCCTTGTTTCCCTATTGCCAGTGACTGCCCCCTGCCACCAGTGAGTCCAAGGGGGCACACACTGCATCTGCCTCGATCGCCACATTATCTCAGGGCCTGGCATGGTGGCCCACCCTCGGTAGGTGCTGGGAGAGTGGCCACTTACAGCCTACATAGACTCTCAAAGGTTCCAGATCAAGACCCCTAGGCAGGGAAGAAGGCCGTACTGTTCCCGCTGCTCCCCCACGAATCCAGAACTGAGATAAAGGACGCCCAGTAGGGAGTCTGGGCTCCGGCCCCGGGGCCCACGTCACGTTGAGCCCTGTGCCTCCTGGTCAGTCACTCTGGGGAAAAAACAGGACGTCAGCAAACTGCCTAGAGGAGAATTAAAAAGTGCGAGCTGCCAACATGTTACGAGGGGTGGGTGGGGGGCCTTCTTCCCCCCGTTTCACTGTCGGTATAACTGAAAAGGCACGAGTGGAGGCCGCAGAGCAAAGTCCAGTCTCCTCTCCTGGGCGTCCGTGGCACCCCCCCGCTCTGCCCGGCGCACCCTCTGCACACTCCTGCCTCCAGGCCTCGACACAGCGGCTCCCTCCACCCAGCAGGCCTGCTCAGCACTCTCCACCTCTGTCTGCAAAGCCCGTCTTTTGTGGCCCTGCTCAGCCAGCCAGGAGCCAGGAGCCAATCCAGACTCAGTCAGAGTAACTCCCGGGTCCCTGAGCCCCCTCAGCACCCTGTGGTCTGTCTGGCTCTGACCAAACCCTGAGCCCCCTCAGCATCCTGTGGTCTGTCTGGCTGTGACCAAATTCTGTCTGGATCAGGGTGATCTGTGATTCAGTTTGTCTGCCCTGAACTGTGATGTGATCTGAGTCACACACAACACCCCCAGCCACAGAGCCCAGCTCAGCGCAGGGCCAGGCCCACCCAAAAAAGGTGCTCTAAAAAGGTCAGAGTGGGCCAGATATTCCCTTTCCTCACGCCACCCCACCCCTGTGTTCACTTTGTTCAACAGAGATCTTGTTCAACTGAGGGTTCCGCTCCCCCAGAGCACCTGTTGCCTTCCAGGCACCACGCTAGGTGCTGAGGCTCAGAGAGGGGTGTGGTTTGTGCATGGCCCGTCGGAAGATTGAATATTTGTGTCTGGGGCTCAGATTCTGTGTTTATGCCCGATTTCAAAGCCTTTAGTAATAGCTGGAGGCACCGAGGGGTTGGTAAACAGAGAGAGGCCAGGGTCACAAATGGCCTCAAGAAGCTGGGCACTGCTCCTGCCGTGCGGCGGCTCACTGAGCTGGAGCAGGGCTCTGCTTACAGGGCTGGTAACTAGGTCAGCAAGAGCCTGCCGCAGAGGCACGGTGGCATGAGACTGTGTACGTGCGTGTGTGCATGTGTGTGCATCCGTGTGTGCTTGTGTGCATCCGTGTGCATCCCTGTGTGTGCATGTGTGCATCTGTGTGTGTGCATCCATGTGCATCCGTGTGCGTGTGCATCCGTGTGTGTGCATCTGTGTATGCGCATCCGTGTGTGTGCATCCGTGTGTGTGCATCCGTGTGTGCATCCCTGTGTGTGCGTGTGTGCATCCGTGTGTGCATCTGTGTGTGCATCCGTGTGTGCATCCATGTGCGCGTGTGTGCGTGTGCATCCGTGTGTGCATCTGTGTGTGTGCATCCGTGTTTGTGCATCCCTGTGTATGCATCCGTGTGTGTGCATCCCTGTGTGCATCCCTGTGTGTGCATCCATGTGTGTGCATCCGTGTGTGTGTGTGTGTGCATCCGTGTGTGTGTGTGTGTGTGTGTGGTGGGGTAGTTCGCTGTATTTGCTGGGCTTTCCCTGAGAGCCAGCTGGTGCCCAGGTCTGCCAGGCCTGGCTCAGCTTGTTTCCTCAGACTGGACTCGCCCCAGGCCCAACAGTTTGCCTTTGAGCTGCGCCTCCATCAGGAAACCACCTCCTGTTGCATTTCCCACCAGGACTCAGAAAACAGCATTGTCTTGGTAGATGGTCTTGAGTTCAAATCCTCACTGCCTTGGAGTCACTGAAGGACCCTGGGCTTGGCACCTCGCTTCCGTCTCCCCTCTGGGACATGGGGCTGTGCAGATCAAATGGGGCGATACGCGGCCCCAGGTCTGACGCAGGAGGCTCAGCACGTGGAGGCTGAGGTTGGAGAGAGTTATAACCACAGGCGAGGGCTGGCCCTCCCTCCCAATCCCCCCTCCCGTGTTGTCTGACTTACAGACATAGCTACACCAGTGTCTGTCACCACACTACCCACAGGACCACCTCTCTGAGCTGTCCCCAGCCACGGAGGCCTGCTGAGTCAGACCGAGATCCCCCTCCATCCTGTCAGCCACCACTGTCTCCCCTCAACCCTCTGTCTCCCCCAGCACACCGGGCAATTTCAACTCACATTCTCACAGTACAATAAGTACCACGATTCCCAATTTAGGAAACCGAGGCCCATGGGGCATGATTTGCCCACACTGATACCAGGAGCTGAAGAAGTGGGGCTAGATGCAGGGGTCCCGACACCCCGCCCAGAACACCCAGCGGGGCCTCGTGGGAGGACTGTGCCTCAGAGCCATCTGCAGCCAGCCGCAGTCCCCCCACCTCGATCTTCTACACGGAGCCTCATCAACTCCACCCCAAACCTCACAGTCAGCTGAGCCCATCTCTCTCCCTCACCCTTCATCTCCCTAATAACAAGAAAGGCCAACAGGCCTTGAGCACTACTGTGTGCTGGAAACTAAATATATATATATATATATTTTTTTTTTTTTTTTTTTTTTTTTTGAGACGGAGTCTCGCTCTGTCGCCCAGGCTGGAGTGCAGTGGCGCAATCTCGGCTCACTGCAAGCTCCGCCTCCCGGGTTCACGCCATTCTCCTGCCTCAGCCTCCCGAGTAGCTGGGACTACAGGCACCCGCCACCATGCCCAGCTAATTTTTTGTGTTTTTAGTAGAGACGGAGTTTCACTGTGTTAGCCAGGATGGTCTCGATCTCCTGACCTCATGATCTGCCCACCTTGGCCTCCTAAAGTGCTGGGATTACAGGCTTGAGCCACTGCGCCTGGCCTTTTTTTTTTTTTTGAGACGGTGTCTCTCTCTGTCTTCCAGGCTGGAGTGCAGTGGTGTGATCTCAGCTCACTGCAACCTCTGCCTCCTGGGTTCAAGCAATTCTCCTGCCTCAGCCTCCCAAGTAGCTGGAATTACAGGTGCGCACCACCATGCCTGGCTCATTTTTGTATTTTTAGTAGAGACGGGGTTTCACCGTGTTGGCCAGGATGGTCTTGAACTCCTGATCACAAGTGCTCTGCCCGCCTTGGCCTCCCATAGTGCTGGGATTTCAGGCGTGAGCCACCGTGCCTGGCCAGGAAACTAAACGTTTCTCATGAGTGTGTCCTCCTCCCCACGTCTGCCTTCCGCAACAGCCGCAGATGGGGCCAAGGCAGCAGCCTCCTCACGGGCCTCTCTGCCTCCCCTCTCCCCCAGATTCCAACTAACACACAACATACAATTCTGTCGCCATCCTGGTCAAGACCTTCTGTGGCTCCCCACTGCCCTCAGCAGGAACTCCAAGCTCCCCCAGGCCGGCACTCAGGTCCCCACGTTCCTCACCACCTCCACCGTGGGCCTCTCGGGACTGGATGCCCGCATTCCTCCACTTATACCACACCTGCCACACGAATGCAGGCCTCCCAGAGAAGGGCAGGGATGTGGGGCTCCCACACGGCCCACACTCCCCCAGCCAGCTCTCCCCCACACACTGCATTCCGGGGGCATTTCACCTTTGCTTGGGCTGCCCCTCTGCCTGGAGTGCCCCTTCCCTACCCCCGTGCTGTGACACCCTGCCGGGGCCGGGGAGGCTACTGTGTGCACAACCTGCCTTCTCTTCACACAGGGGCTGGGATAGGGGTGGCCTCGCCTCTGCCCGCACCTCCAGGGCCCAGCATGTCCCGATTTGGGGCGGGGCTGGAAGGGAAAGCAACACCAGAGGAGACAATCTCCTGCTCCCACTCACACTTCGCCTCCATCTTCCTACAAACCAGACTCTTCACACCCCAGGGCTTGGTCCCTCCTATCCCCCCTGCACAGAAGGCCCCTCTGCTCACCCCCAGCCTGTACTTGCCAAGGACCTCCCCGTCCTTCAGAGCCCACCTCAGATGCTACAGTCTCCCACTCCCCAAGGACTGAGGTTTTCTATCACGCACAGGCCCGGGGTGATGCCCCGGCACAGCCCCTGGCCTCAGCCCGAGTGCGTGCCACCAGCAGAGCGGGCCCTGGACTTCTGGTTCCTTCTTCTTCACCCCTGTAAGGTGTTGTAGGCTGACAGGACAGGCTTCTTCACGCAAGGGTGGAAACTCAACCTCTGAGACCCAGGATGGAGAAGTGAGTTGATGTGACTGCAGAATGAGTCAGGGGTGAAGACTGACTTGGGGACAGCAGGCCACAGGGTAAGAGGGCATGATGGGGCTGGTGGTCAGGGTGTGGACAGTTCCAGGGTTTCAGTGTCTGTCTGCACCCAATGCTTCTAAAATCTCCCTTAGACAACTGCTATTATTCCGTCTGCTGCCACAAATAAGAAGTAGGCATCACCAGAGTGGCTGGCCTGGAGAGAGTGGAAGGTCAGGGCCAGGCCAGGCCAGTCCTGGATTCTCTCCAGCCTAAGGAGGCCCAACCCGGCACAGGGTACAGGGTGCTGGGCCTGGAGCCACAGTCTGAGGGAGTTCTTCCTCCCAGCATCTCCTGGACATTTTCTTTCTCAGACTCTCCTCAGCCCCCAAGACTCAACGCCACCTCACCTCCTCCAGGAAACTCTCCTGGACTGGCCCATCCTAGTCTCAGGACCTCACAGCATGGAGCAGAACTGCAGCAGCCTCGTTTCCGCCACCCACACCGGAGCTGCGGGGGCCCTGCTCTGGTCCCCTTCCCGTGGCTGAGCTGAGCTGTGGGCTAAGTGGTCTCATGGCAAGTCTGCTCCATCATCGCTCTCTGCTGCCCATCAGCTTGGGAAGGGCCTAGGCCTCAAAAGAGGTTTGATCGATGCCACCTGCTGGAAAAGGCACTGAGGTGATGGGTGGTGGTCTCAGAGGCTAAAGGAGACAGATGAGCCACAGGAGTATTCTGGAGCTGGGAGGCAGGACAGAGGCCTGGGCTTGAGCCTCGTGTCTATTATCAGTTGCTTGCAAGCCTGGGTAGTCACTGCCCGCTCTGTGCCCCAGTCACCTCCTCTGTACTGGGAGAGGGTAGACAAGAGTCTAGTCTAAGCATCTGCTCCAGATATTCTTGGTAATGGGAGATCAAAGCCACAAGCCATAAAAAGAGTGAGACTCTCTCCACACCCCACATGTAACTAAAAACAGAGAAGTCTAAATTGTAAAATAAAAGGAAGTTCAACAAACTGTTGACCTTTCCATGGTGACTATTCTGATGTTTTTGAAATATAAAATATTAGGCCGGGCAAGGTGGCTCATGCCTGTAGTCCCAACACTTTGGGAGGCCGAGGCAGGTCGATCACCTGAGGGCAGGAGACCAGCCTGACCAATATGGTGAGACCCTGTCTCTACTAAAAATACAAAAATTAGCCAGGCGTGGTGGCAGGCGCCTGTAATCCCAGCTACTCGGGAGGCTGAGGCAGGAGAACTGCTTGAACCTGGGAGGCAGAAGTTATGGTGAGCCAAGATCCAGCCTGGGCTCCAGCCTGGGCAGCAGAGCAAGACTCTGTCTCAAAAAATAAAATAAAATAAAATGAAATATAAAATATTAAAATCTGTCCAAAAACGTGTTCCTTGCTGGTACCCTACACATTGTGGCCTGCTTCCTGGGTGATCTGGCCCCAGGTGGGATGCTAATCCCAAGTCCCCTCCCAGCACAGCCTCAGCCCATCTTTCAGGGAGAACTCAGCTACCAGGAGCCTTTCATCCACATAAGCTTGATGCCCATCCAATTCTCCGGCCAACCTCCTGAGCAGGGGCAGGAGACCCATGGGAAGTCTGCTCAGATCACTAGGCAGGACCACCCTGGCCTCCGGCTTAATCTTAGCAGCCTCCAGGGGCTCACCTGACCGTGCTGTCTCATCACAGGGGGCCCCCGAAAGGACTCATGGCTTGGCTTGCCCAGAGGCTTCCATGGGACAGTTAAAGGCTAAAATGGGACCCCCCAGGCAGCAGAAGTGCCTCCCCCCACCCCACATTCCAGTTTTTACCCTGGGCCTGACAACACAGGAAGCAGGCTCCCTGCCAACACTCACACCCTCTACCATACAGACACTTGCCCCCAGTCTCTGGTCAACACTCTCTCACAGGGTCCTCACCCTCATCAGCCCAACCCCTGCTCTGTAACAGAAGGGAGCTCTGCCAGGCGGAGCCTCCACACTCAGAGAACAAACTACAGAGTCAAGGACCTGCCCCAAGTGGGTGCCATGGGGAGAGGGCCTCGGTGGCGGGGGGAGGCTGGCTGGAGGAGGAACAGAATGGCAGAGCCCTGGAGTCCAAAGGCCCTGGCTGACAGAACTGGCAACACGAAGCCTCAGCCGCCCTTCCCAACAAGCCTGGGGCCCTGACCCACCGAGCAAGACTCCTTTCCTGGAGGAGCTGCCACTCTCTAACCTCTGGCTCTAACTGAGCCCCATCAGAGACAGACAGTCAAGGCTGTAGTCTGCAGACACCTGGCTGGAGCTGAGGGCACAGCAGCCCCTCGAAGCAGCGGGTGAGAGGACTTACTGGCTATGCAGAGCAGAGTGTGGAAGAGCCACATCCTTGCTGGAGCAGAGGCGGCTGTGTGGGAGCCGAGGCGAGTGCGACACATGGGCCGTGGCCCACTCAGCTTCCCCTCAGCCAGGAGGCCAGGAGGCGGGGACAGAAGCACACACACCAGCAAGGACCCACAGACCGGCACTTTCAACCAAACAGAGACACTCCGGCTCGTACACAACCAGCCGTGTGGCTTCCTCAGTTGTGGGCTGGACCCTAGGAGCTTAGGGGCCACTGTCAGCCCCACTCTACCACCCACACTTTGACCCACACTTTCATGGAATAGGGAGCTGAGGTTTGGCCAGGGCCACAGTTCTAGGTGTCCTCAGCAGATGCTGGAGGTGCAGGAGCAACGTGAATCCAGCCTGCCGTTCGTATCATCCATTTGAGTCGGTCCCCTGTCCTGCCTCAGAACCTACCACCAGACATCTCAGCCCAGCTTCCAGCCCAGGGTCCTCGGTGGTGGTTGCCTCAGCACTGAGACAGGCGTCCCCCTCCCATAGGAAGTGCCTCCCCAGCCAAAAACTGGGCTCTTGTACCAGCCCATGCACTCAAGGCCCTGGGGTTCTGGAGGGCCAGGTGAGTGGAAAGACCCAACGCACTGAGTGAAATCACTGCCTCGATTCAACTTCGGCTGCGTTCATTCTCTTTAAAACCAGGACAGCAACCTGACGTGGAAACTGACTGAACAGGACTCTGAGTTACCAGAATAACAGAAGTAAAATTCTATACATCTTCCAGCATACCTGTGATGCATCCCAGCATTCCACAGAACACGCCGTTGACAGCTGGCAGTCGTGTTTAAGTGCTGATCTGAGATCTGTACTGTGTGACCAAGTCTGTGACACAGAAGGAACTCTCCTGCACCCCTGCTCCCCAGGCTGCTGGAAGTGCAGAGTGGCGCCGTCAAACAGAACTCTGCGCGGGGATGGAACTGCTCTAGGTCGACGCTGTCCAGGATGGTACTCATGAGCCACATATGGTACTAAACCCTTAAAATGCCACTAGAACAACTGATGAACTGAATTTTGTATATTTTATTTAATTTTAATTAAACGTAAAAAGGCAGGACATTCCAAGGCTCTCTAACACGAGTGTCTGCAGCCCCATTCGCTTTGAGATGTGAATGTGTTAACCCAGGGTGGACAATGGTGTTGACTTCATTACTAGATAAAAATCCATGTTATTTTGTTTCTCGCATTGAAAGGCTGCTTGGCTAAGGTTCTGTGAAGATCCGATGACATTTCCAACACTTTGCCTTGTCTGCTTTGCTCTGACAAAGTGCTTATGACTACTAGATCTTGCTCGGTTATGTGAGATTACAATTCACCGGTTTCCATCCTGTATGAAACAGAAGTTAAACAGTTGTAAAAGCAAAATTCCAGGTCTGGTGGTTTTCCTGCCAGGTCATGATGAAACCATCCTACTTCTGTTGAACCTCGTCCCAGGCAGGATCGGGGCCTGCGGCCTACAGCCTGTCTTCCCAGCGCTCCAGGGCTCGTGACCCTCCTCCTCCCCTCACTTCATTCTGCGCTCCAAGGGCACTGGGGAGAGTCACAGTGGTCTCCTCTCCCCCGCATTGGCCTAAAGCAGGAAGAGAGCAGCCCAGTCACTGAGCAGATCCCTGCTAGGGCAGGGCTAGAACCCAGACTGCAGCTCACTCGAGATTCCTGAGAGAAGACTTTGTGTTTGGAGTGTGAACGTCAGGGTGCCTCGGGAAGCCAGGGAAAGCTGATGACTGGGTGCTGGACAGGGAGCAGGGCCACTTCTGTACCTCTGCACACTTCTAGAATGCGGACTCATCCTGCATCCATCCAGTATGTATTTATCCAAGCGTCAGTGCCTCTAGTCATGAGACACACAGGGGTCCGTAAAGCCCACCTGGCGGTAGCTGCTTTCCCCACAAACCCAAACTACATCCCCAAGGTCAGGGCCAGGCTCTGTTGAGTAATGCTCCCCATCACAGCACGCAGCACAAGGCTGGCTGTTTGACAAATACACACATAACCAAAAGACATGTGAATGTGGTTTCCCAACTCACTTTAAACAAATATTCCGGGACCAACTTCAAGGACGTTCTACAACAGAAACTGGACTGTACTCTTCACAAACATCAATGTCATGAAAGACAGAAAGGCTGAGGACCTGCTCCAAACGAAAGGAGGCTGCAGAGAGGACAACTAAAGGCAGCGCTTGATCCTGGATTGGATCCTGGACCAGAAAAACAACGGCTTTCAAAATCATTATTGGGACAGTTGGCAAATTTGAAACAGGAACTACAAATTAGCAACTCCTGGGCTGATCAGAGAATATTACACATTTCCTGAATTTGAGAACTGTACCATGGGCATGTGAGAGGCTGTCCCTGTTCTTGGGAAATGTTCACTAAAACATCTTACGGATAAACGAGCATGATGTATACAAATAATCCTCAAATGGTTCATGGTTCAGAGAGGATAGGAAGAAACAGGGGTGAGGGAGAAGAGGAGGGAACGAATGAAAGAGAAAATGTGGCAAAATGTTCTTTGTTGTACCCTTCAAACTGCTGTGATTTTGAAATTATTTCAAAATAAAGTTTTAAATATTTTAAAAAATTTTTTTCTTTCTCCCCTTGATACCAGGAAGAATAAAGTTTTTAAAAAATGGGCAGGTGGGCCAGGCGCGGTGGCTCACGCCTGTAATCCCAGCACTTTGGGAGGCCGAGGCGGGCGGATCACAAAGTCAGGAGATCGAGACCATCCTGGCTAACACGGTGAAACCCGGTCTCTACTAAAAATACAAAAAAAATTAGCCAGGCGTGGTGGCGGGTGCCTGTAGTCCCAGCTACTCAGGAGGGTGAGGCAGGAGAATGGCGTGAACCCAGGAGGCGGAGCTCGCAGTGGGCGGAGATCATGCCACTGCACTCCACTTGGGTGACAGAGCGAGACTCCGTCTCAGAAAAAGTGGCCAGGTGCACTTGTAGTCACAGTTACTTAAGAGGTTCAAGCTACTTGGGAAAGCTTGAGCCCAGGAGTTTGAGTCCAATCTAGACAACATAGTATGAACCTGTCTCTTTAAAAAAAAGTTGCAAAATGTTCATGGATGGAGGAGACGTGCTCGGCGTGAGGTGAAAGGGCTGCCTGTGGGTCGGGCGTGGTAGCTGACACCTGTAATCCCAGCACTTTGGGAAGCCGAGGTAGGCGGATCGCCTGAGTTCAGGAGTTTGAGACCAGCCTGGGCAACATGGTGAAACCCTGTCTTTACTAAAAACACAAAAAATTAGCCAGGCGTGGCAGCGTGTGCCTGTAGCCCCAGCTTCGGGAGGCTATGGTGGGAGAATTGCTTGAACCTGGGAGGCGGAGGGTGCAGTGAGCCGAGACTGCGCCATTGCACTCCAGCCTGGGCGACAAGAGCAAGACTTCATCTCCAAAAAAAACAGAAAGGGCTGCCTGCTGTCTTCAGAGTGAGTCAAAAGCACTGAGGCACAGCCTTCAGACACAGGAAATGGTTCTATTCTCCCACTTGCCTTCTGACTCTTAGGAAGCCAGAAAGAGTGACGGCATTGCTGAGACCAGAGCCCAGGGCTGCAGAGCAGTGGTACTCACGACCTTTGAACACTCGGTAGGAGTGCCCTGCTCAGTGCCAAGGCCTCACATGCGAGCCCTCATCTGAGCCTCTCAGCCACCTACAAGGTCAACCCGATTTCTCAGATAAGGATGCTGCCTCTGAGAGGCCACATAGCTAGTAAGGAGCAGAGCTGGGACTCCAAACAGGCCTGTTTCCTCCAGAATCAGGACTCTGAACCACCACAAACTCTCCTGCCTTCAGCTCTTTTGGTGTGTAGACTTTTTTTATTTTTGTTTTTGAGATGGAGTCTTGCTCTTTCATCCAGACTGGAGTGCAGTGGCACAATCTCAGCTTACTGCAACCTCTGCCTCCTGGGTTCAAGCGATTCTCCTGCCTCAGCCTCCCGAGTAGCTGGGACTACAGGTGCCCGCCACCACACCCGGCTAATTTTTGTATTTTTAGTAGAGACGGGGTTTCACCATGTTGGCCAGGCTGGTCTCGAACTCCTGACATCAGGTGATCCCCGCCTCGGCCTCCCAAAGTGCTGAGACTACAGGTGTGAGCCACGTGCCCAGCTAGGTGGTGTGTAAACTTTAAAAAAGCAGAGATTTCATCCCACAAATGCAGACTGGGATCTCCACATGACCAGGTGCTGTGGACTGAACTGTAAATGTCCTCCAAATTCATATGTTGAAGCCCTAACCCCCAATGTGGCTCTTCTTGGACATATGGCTTTTAGGAAGTAATTAAGGTTAGATGAGGTCATAATCCAGCAAGATTGGTGGCCTTACAAGAGCCATGTGCAGGCACCAAGAAAAGCCTACGTGAATAAGACAGCAAGAGGGTGCTCACCATGTTGGCATCCTCCGGCCTCAGATCTGTGGGGGACTGCGGGGGTGATGGGACAGGGAGAGAACAAGGAGTGGATTTTCTTGTCCTTTCTAAGGAAGGGGCTGGGAGGGCGAGGGCTGCACTGGGTGCTGGGACCAAGGGTCCAGGGGCTTGGATCTCTTGTTTACAAACCCCTACTTCTTTCCTGCTATCTAGCCCACACCCCTGATGCTCCCCGGAAAGGAGAGCAAGGATCCTTGAACACGCGTTAGCACTAGAAGGAAACTGGAGCTCACCCCAGTTGAGCCCTCCATTTGACAGACAGGGAAGCTGAGGCCCAGGGAGGTGAGGGGACTTGCTCAGTCTTTCCAATTGAGTATGTGGGGCAGAAGGAGTCCCCAGAGCCCCGGCCCCAGCCACCATCCTATTTGACTTTCCCCAACAGGCATTCTACCTCAGCTAAAGATGCTGCCTGCCTCTCACAGGCCCTGAGGAGAAGATGGCCACATCACAGGATCGAACACTACCACAAAACTCCTAGGAAGGGACAGGAAGGTGAGAATCCTTTCTTTTTTTTTTGAGACGGAGTCTCGCTCTGTCGCCCAGGCTGGAGCGCAGTGGCGCGATCTCACCTCACTGCAACCTCTGCCTCCCGGGTTCAAGTAATTCTCCTGTCTCAGCCTCCCAAGTAGCTGGGACTACAGGTACCCACCACCACGCCCAGCTAATTTTTGTATTTCTAGTAGAGACGGGGTTCCAACATGTTGGCCAGGCTGCTCTTGAACTCCTGACCTCAGGTGATCCACCCGCCTCGGCCTCCCAAAGTGCTGGGATTACAGGCGTGAGCCACCAAGCCCGGCCTGAGAATTCTCTTCTGTCAATGGTGTGGGCCTCTCGACCTCACTAACCTATATTGGCCCAGAGGTGATGGTGACAATTTGAGATAACACAAAGTCTCAACTATTTACGAACCTGGTCATCCAGAGAGGGCCCCGGAATTGCTCAAATGAACAGTAAGAATCCTGAGGCAGGGTACTGACCTTGGTAGGTGAAATACCGCCTATACTCTCAAGTTTTATGGATAGTGCAGCCAAATTCCACTCGGATGCCTCACAACTACTTAAAATTGGCTTTTTGAAGCAGCATTTCCCTAACTACTCCCAGGAACAAAGTTCTGTGAAATGTTCATAGAGCTTCATTGAAAAAAAAAAAAAAAAAAAAGCTACAATATTTTTCTTCTAAGATTTATTTTATAAACATGTAAGAAAAGTTGTAGATATTTATTGTGGGTCTGGTTATGCAAGAACAATCTTCCTGGACACAGTGTGCGATTCTCAGTATCAAAAGCATTCTCTTCTTTCAGTTCGTAAAAGAAAAACATGGTTTAACTTCTAATTTACTGCTTATTATAAGGTTTAAAAGCAATTACTGTACTTATGTATCGAACTTATTTGTGTAGCAACTAATTCATCTGTGAAGCCATGGTTTGCTGTGGCTTCACAGTAAATTTTGACTTAAGTCTAAAGCGTGTGTTAGCATCTCACCGTAACTTAATGCTTCGAGTGAGAAGTTTGAGGAATGCTGCTTTAGGCAAAAGAGCCACTGGAGGAATGAGCTCTGCTCTTTTCACCTGCTCTGGACTGCTCTCACTTTCCTCACCGACAGGACCACAGGCTTAAGAACTGGCTCAGCAGTCCTTCTTTAGGGTCTAGCGCCTGCCTACCAGCTTCCTCTACTTCTATCCCGGGACAGATGAATGCTTTTCTAAAAAATATTTTGGACCATCTGCATGATTCCCTAGCAAATGCTTTAGAGAGCTGGTAAGCTTCAGCTCCGACATGGCCAGATCATCAAAATTTGAAGTTTACTCAGGTCTATTTAATGAGATTTTTTTTTCTTATACAACCATATGCACTTCTGAATAATCTTCCCTTTTTCGAATCTGGGGCTTTCATCTGGAATTAGACTAACCTGCAGACAGTGATGCCAGAACTGGGCTGGGTTACCATAATTCATTCATTTACCAAACACTTTCGAAGCACTACTTACTCTGGGCTGGCCTGATGAAAGGATACAGAGATAACACCACAAAGAAACTTGCTCATTAGGAGCTTGCTTACTGGCTAGAAAGGAAAATACAACATGAAAATAAAGCATTGTACGTACATGGCAGAAAAATGACTAGCCTGCCAGAGGGCCCCAGAGCCTCAGAGGATGGAGCCACTCCTGAGGCTGGAGGGTTTACAAACTCATCCCATCTTTACAGAAGACCTGCTAGATGCCAGGCATGCTGGCAGGCACAGGGGAAAGCCCACTCAACAAGCAGACACGGTCCCTGCTCTCACGGAGCTTACAGTCTAGCAAGACAAACTAGGAACAAGAAATTACAGTCCAGTGTAGAGGTGTGCAGGGTTGTGGGGTACAGTGATTTGGCATTATACACACATTTCGCTTAAACACAATGGTATTTGTCTGAAAAAGATTTAAAAAAAGAAAAACAAATCAGTTGTTTGGGCCATTCCGCTGGCCCCTCCTTCACTCCATGAGCATAGACAAGAGGGCGGGCCCGGGCAAGCTCATGCCTCTGCTGCACCTGCGGCCTGCCTCAGTTCCCAAGCTCCCCAAAAGTGATCTTCTCGCCTAAATGTGGTTCTAACACCCCAAAACAAGTGATTTTTGCACAACACAGCCCTAACTGCAGGCCAATCACTTCACCTGGTACTCAACCAAACAGTAATGTGTTCCCACATGGGCAAGAAATGACTACATGGGACCTCAAGATGTTGGTCTTCAATAGGGCACCTTCCTTAGATTTCTAAGAGGAATTTTAATTACACTCCATTTTTATCTTAGGCACTGACCTTAGAACTGAATCCTGGAGAGAGCTGAGACTCTTCTGTGGCAGTACCATGGGACACATAGAAGTAGCCTATACCCTGGCTCTGGAAGTTGGGGACTGCCTCCTAGAAGGGCCCCTAAGACCTTAAGTTGGTGAGGGGAAGATTGAGGCGGGAGGGGGAGAAGCCTGGGCGGAAGCATGTCACTGGAGGTAGAAACAGCTCTGTGCACAGTCTGTAGGGCTAGTGAGATCAAGATACATTTAGGGAACTGGTGAGCAGAGGGCAGGGGAGATGGGGAGAACAGGCCAGGGATACTGCCAGAGGATAGACCTTGGTGAGCCTCATAACATGCTATCAAAAAGGGTGGAATTTATGTATGTATGTATTTTTTGAGACAGGTCTTGCTCTGCTGCCCAGGCTGGAGTGCAGTGGCTTGATCATAGCTCACCACAGCCTTGAATTACTGGGCTCATGCGATCAGGAGTGTGGAATTTATTCTCGGGGCAATAGTGAAGCTTTGGAAAACGTTCAAGCAGAGGAATAACAGAATCAGATATATATTTAAGAAAGTTCATCCTGAAGCATGTGAAAAGGTGCCCGACATCATTAGTCATTAGGGAAATACAAATCAAAACCACAATGAGAGCCAGGCGTGGTGGCTCATGCCTGTAATCTCGGCACTTTGGGAGGTCAAGGCAGGAGGATCACTTGAGGCCAGGAGTGCTAGACGGCCTGGGCAACATAACGAAACCCCATCTGTACAAAATGTATTTTAAAAAGAAAAAATAAAAACAAAAAACTACAATGAGATACCACTTCACACCAGAAAATAATGAGTGTTGGTGGAGATGTGGAGAAACTGGAACCCTCGCACACTGCTGGTGGAATGGAAAATGATACAGCTGCTTGGAAAAACCACCTGGTGGTTCCTGAAAAGGTTAAAGATAATTATGACTCAGCAATTCCACTCCTAGGTATATACCCAAGAGTCATGAAAATACCTGTCCCTGCAAAAACTTGTTCGGGAATGTTCGTAGCAACACTATTCATAATAGCCAAAAAGTAGGGCCAGGTGCAGTGGCTCACACCTGTAATCCCAGAACTTTGGGAGGAAGAGGTGGGCAGATCACCTGAGGTCAGGAGTTCGAGACCAGCCTGACCAACATGGTGAAACCCTGTCTCTACTAAAAATACAAAAAATTAGCCAGCGTGGTGGCACATGCCTGTAATCCCAGCTACTCTGGAGGCTGAGGCAGGAGAATCGCTTGAACCCCGGAGGTGGAGGTTGCAGTGGGCCGAGATCGTGCCATTGCACTCCAGCCTGCACAACAAGAGCGAAACTGTGTCTCAAAAATAAATAATAGAAATAGAAATATATATATATAGCCCTAAAGTAGAAACAACTCAAATGCCCATTAACCAATGTGGATTAAAAAAAAGGTGGCATACCCATAAAATGGACTATTATTTGGCAATTTTAAAAAATGAAATACTGATAGAAGCTATGACATGGATGAACCTCAGAAATATGTTAAGAAGCCAGTCACAAATAGACACATAGTATATGATCCCATTTATATGAACTATCCAGAACAGGCAAATCCACAGAGAGAGAAGGAAGATCAGTGGTGGCCAGAGGCTAAGAGGGAAGAGGGAATAGGGAGAATTGCTAATGGACTCAGGGTTTCTTTGGGTGATCAAAGTGTTTTAAAATTGATTACGGTGCTGGTGCATAACTGTAAATATACTAAAAGCCACTCAAGTGTACACTTTAAATGGCTGAACTGTATGCAAATTACATCTAAATTAAGCTGGTAACAACAACAAAGGTTCATCCCGCTGCAGTGTGCAGAATGGAGACAGGGCAGAGACCAGTGAAGAGGCTGCTGTACAAATGCAGCTGGAAAGGGCAGTGGCTGAAGAACGGAGAGGGGTTCACAGGATCAGACTACAAGGGGGCCAGAGGAGGAGACTACATCCTGAGGACGCCACAAATTATCCTGGGTACCTGGTAACTCTCCAGAGAGGAGAGTGGGAAACAAATGAGGTATCTGCAATTATCATCAAGCAGCAAACATGTATGTAAAATCTCCTACACATAAGACTAAGAGGAACACACAAAGTGTGCAGCCCTGTGCCCACATGTGTGGGGAGTGTCCAGGGTAAAATCACGCCCAGCTGCCTGCCACGGGCCTGTCCTGACTATCCATTCTTACTCTTAAACTCCAAAGAAAAGGCCTCATCATTCAGGACACACTCAAGATGTTGCAAGATCTGAGTGACTGAGAGTGGGCAGGAGGGTTAGAGAAACTAATAAGGCCAGTAACTCCGAGAAGTAAAAATCTTTAAAGCTGCCTTTCTGGGTTCTCTCTGTGTGTCTGTGAAAACTGTAAGGTTACTCGAGTGTGTATTTCTCTTGGTTACATCAAAGACCCAGTTTTGACTGCACACCACCTCCTTCCAGAATGGCTTCGCTGATCTGTAGCAGGAGACTGCTGAGTGCTGAAAGGCCGTGGAACAAATGGACCTGAGCTGCTGGTGTAAAACCAAAAGGAAAGTCTGTGAAGGAGCATATTCTAAACCCTGCAGAGGCATGCCAGCTGGGACGCTGACCACAAGACATCTTTGCCCCGTCAGTAGAAGCAGAGACTGTGCTGGGATGGGAATAAGCCCCTGTCTACACCTCATGCGCGCCCTCAGTTGTCTCCCTGGCGCCTCCTCCACCTGCAGTAGAAATTCATGCTGGCGAGCCCACTGCCGTCACAGCTTGGGAAGAGTAAACCGCCACTGAGATGCACCAACAAAGCCAGGAATTCTGGTAACAGCCCACTCAACTGCTAGACGGGAAAACTGAGGCCCAGGTCCATGGAGCAGAGCCAGGGGTTGGCATCCAGGTGTCCGATTCTCAGGCCCCCGCACTCCTCACTCTACCAACTCCCCAAACCCTGACCCTTCCTAAGAACCTGGCTCTCAGCTGTATGCTTCACAGGGAAAGAAAAGCTGAGAAATCTCAGATGTCTTAAGTCTCAACTGGCAGAGAAACCAGAACCATCTCTTTCCTAGAATCCTAATAAGAAGCTGAAATATATCATGGTTATATCCTCTAATCTCTCTAAAGGGAGGGAGAAAAAGCAAGGTTAATCAACAAAATATGGGACAATACAGTTTTTGTTGCAGCTCTCAAATCTTGCAGCCCTTTACTTCCTTTATTAATAACAGTGTTCTGCATTAATTCGTGCCACAGTGTAATCAACTATCAATGTGACCATTAGCTCCGCCACAAGTAAAGATCGACAGGATCCAGGCTGCACTGTGTGCACAACAGCCCAGGCAGGTGAAGAGTCGTGACATCGCAAAAAGGACCACGGTTTATTACCATCTCTAACGCCCATGTTCCAGCAAACCGAAGAAAAACACTGTTTCTTAAAACTGCAGAGGAATACAAAATTAAATACTACAAAACAAAAATCAGACAGGAAGACGAAACAATCTACCTCCTCCTAATGGTAAAATAATCTGAAAGGAGTTTAAAAATAAATGAACTAAAATTTTTATAACTATTATCTTTTCTGCCAATTTTGAAGATGTCTTCAGGTGCCACAACGTGGGGACAGAAAGAATAAATATCAATGTATAACTTCTAGAGTGATAATAAACAACAGGACCCCATCTCAGATGGATGGATTTTTTTTCCTACTGGAGCCAAAAAACAAGCTGAACTCTATGTACAACAGACAGACTATACAACTAGGAGCATTTAAAAATAATAAGACTCCTCTCTCTGCCTTCTTCCAAAGAATAGAATATATATTTAACAGCACAAAAGACGACACCACTTGAGCTTCCCCTTTAGCCAACAGGAAGAATTTCCACATATAAAAATTAAAAATTTAAACTTTCAAATCATTCATGTTTTAAACATAATACAGACTTAAAAATTCTTCAACATTGACCCATAATCCCACCCCAGCACAAAAATCAACCCCAAATCCAGACGTCACAGTTTTTTGTTCCTAAAAATCCCACAGCACTGAACTTGATCTTCACATCAAGCTGACAGCACGTAAGAGGCCCATGCCATGAGCAATCCCCGAGGGAAGAACGGAAGCACAGTCAATGCTGCAGCTCTTATCTACCTGGGCGGCACTGGTGCACCTCTGAGGTCAGGTCCGTGAGATTCGCCCCACACTAGGGTCCCGGAAGGGTGAGCTGGCCGCTTCCCTCCTCTTCCCCCTCGAAGGATGTCCAATAAGCACCTGGGAATTGACTTTTCTTGGGAAAAGGGTGCTGGTAACAGCTGTCAGGGCCAAGGCAATAGTGAGAAGTTCAGTTCTCTGCTCTTTGGATGAACTGTGTAAAACATTTCTTTTAAAAGACACAATGTTAAAAATATTAAGAAAAATGTCTACAAAATCTGGAGGGCTGCCTTTTTCTCAAAGGGTAAAGCCTGTGGGGTGGTGGGAAAGGAATCGAGGGCCCAGAACTACAACTCTGCAGCGAAAGATAGAGATGCCCTTGAAAATGTGTCACATTCTTAAGATGTCTTGCCGAAGTAGCAAGAGCGGAGGGTGACTGTGTGAGCAGGAGCGAGAGGGCGCCAGCTCCTGCGGGGGAGGTTCCTACTGCGCGCCCCACCCTGTGCAAGAATGTCAGGCTTTAGGGCAGCTGCCATAGGCCCCAGGGGCATCAGGACTCTGCCTCTGAACCAGAGCTGCTTTCCCGACTAACTTCAATCTGGAGAGATGGTAAGTTATCTAACCGGCTCTTCTTTTGGCGAGACTGCTCTTTCTCCTTAATCAGAGCCCCCCATGCCCTTTGCAGCTCAGAGTCGTCTTCCTCAGCGCCAGGCGCCCTGTGATCCACTTTCTTCGTATTCTTTTCTTTGGTCTTGGGTGCAGATCCTAGGCGAGTCCATAAATTACCTGTTTGGATGAGATGGCATTTCACTTTCGCAGTCAGCGCTAAGAACCAGGGTAGCACTGAGGGGGCAGCAGCACTGCCAACACCTGCTGTGCAGGAAACGCCAGCAGTCTGTGGAGCCTGCCACCACAGTGCAGCCTTGGGCAGGCAAAATCTCATTTCCCGGGCCGCAGCCCCTGCCCGCAAACGGAAGGGTCTGGACCCAGCACGGGATTCTCACCGTGGGGGGACAGGTCAGGTCCCTCCCTGTCACCAGACACATCAGAATCACCTGAGAGGCCGTTTCCTCCTACTCCTGCCCTTCCCTGCTGAGACACCACCCTGTGTGCCAATCCATTCTGCCAGAAGTAGGCCACTCCCAGATCCCTTCCATTAATTTTTGAAATATATTTTATGAAAATTTAACAATAGAGAAATACGTGTTTAGAATTTTGTAGACGGCCACATTATAAGGCAATTCAAAGTTGTTTTTGTTTTTGTTTTTGAGACAAGGTCTTGCTGTTGCCCAGGCTGAAGTGCAGTGGTGCAGGCGCCCACCACCACGCCCGGCTCATTTTTGTGTTTTTAGTAGAGACAGGGTTTCACCATGTTGGTTAGGCTGGTCTCGAACTCCTGACCTCAAGTGATCCCCCCGTCTCGGCCTCCCAAATTGCTGGGATTACAGGTGTTGAGCCGCTATGCCTGGCCTAAAAGTTTTATTTATAAAGATTATAAAATGTGGCAAACAACTACGATAAAATGCTGTATGAAAAAACTAGGATTTGTATGTGGGCAAAGACCAGAATAGCTCACATGAAACTAAAAAGATTTGTGCCAAACAGAAAGAGCCAGGAGTGTGCTATTTTTTTCTATTTTCTAAGCGTTCCTAACTGTTGGGATGATGCTGATGCTGATGCTGACGATAACTATAATGGAAAAGGAATAATCACTTATATTTGGCGTGGGCTGTTTCTTGCCTTCTGCTAAGAAAGTATTTCTCCAATACACCCACTGTCCTCTGCTCTCACTGAATCCCCATTCCCATCCGTTTTAAGTGTTACCAACCTGATTTCTTCTCCCGAGTATCGGCGTAGAGGCCTTTACTATCCTGCCTGGGAACACCTAGCCTACTATGCACATCAGAAGAGGGCTCTCTCCGAACGACGGGGTTACTACTAAAAGCCTTTTCCGGAGAATGTGGTCTTTTTCCTAACCGCTGGCGTATATCTGAAAAAAGAGAAAAAGTGCACCAGTGACCGTGTGTGTGCTTTATGCTCGGCACCAGCCGCCTGACACCTCTAACGGATCTGGCGCTAACCCCTGCCCCGAGGACACAGGGCCTGACAATCAGGCTGCTAAGTATTCTTCCTTTGTAATCAGTCTGGATTTCCTTAGGAAAATTCGGACATAGGGGCTGTCAGAGGAAAAATCCTCAACTGATTACTCCAGAACTATATTTCTGAAGAAACAACCTTTTTTTTTTTTTCTTTAAGCAGAATCAAGAAGACTAAGTAATTTACAAAAGTTTCAGCGAACAAAAAATCCTGTGAGCTCCTGGAAAGTGGAAGGCACAATCTTTGAACATACAAGTAGTTCCCAATAAACTTATTACATTTAACCAGTAAATATAAAGAGACTGGAAAAGGCAAAGGATCAAATGTGTTTTTCCCTCAATCCCCCCAGAAATCGGCCTGTCCTCTTGAGTTCCCCCTAACCACCACAGCAACAACAGAAACACATTCGTTGGTGAGGCCCTGTGCCGAGGTCTCCTCTCACTTTAGCTTCTCTCAGAGAGCAGCACCCTGGTCTCTGGTCACTGAGACCTGAGCTCCTTTCCTCCAACACTTCCTAGCACTGAGTCTTCCTTCACAAGACTATCCTGTTCTTTATCCATTCTGTCTCCACCGACCTAGTTCAGGCTCTTGTTACTTTTTTAACTCTCTACCCCACCCCACTCCACCCTCAAGTTGTCTTTCTAAAATAGATGTAAGATCAGGTTACTTCTCATGTAAAAAAATCAGGTTTGCCAACAGAGATCCTACCCTCTCCAAGGCCTGGCTCTAATGCTACTTTCTCTAAGAAGTCTTTCACAACTTCCCGAGTAGATCTATGACGGCTCTGCGTCCCCTCCAAAGGCTTCTCACATTCCTAGCACCTAGACCAGGGTCTGGCACATAGCAGGTACGGCTAAAGACCTGCTGAATCAGTGTTTGAACATAGAAATTATCTAGTTCAAACTCTTAACTGTTCAGACAACCACCGAACTTAATTTCTATTATTCTTGTATATAAAGTATACCAGTGTCATACAGAGGAAAATATGGTTGGCCCTCCTCATCCATGGATTCCACATCTATAGATTCAACCAACTGCTGATCGAATACATGTGGAAAAAAAGTAAGACATAAGAGTACAGCAAAAAATAATACAAATTTTACACAACACAGGATAAGAATTTATACCGTATTAGGTATTGTAAATAATCTAGAGATGACTTAAAGTATATGAGAGGATGTGTGTAGGTTATATGCAGATAATATGTCACTTTATATAAGGGACTTAAGCATCAATGGATTTTGGTATCTGTAGGGGGCGGGGAGGGGGTCCTGGAAGCAAGCCCCCAGACATACCAAGGAACAACTGTAATTATTTGGAATAAAAACATTTAAAGCTAGTTTTTCAGAAGTCTGATTATTTTTCATTTCCTCAATTTCCAACACCTAGCCCACAATTTAGACATGATGAACCAGGACAGCTAAATCAGTTCACACATCGCATGTTTTACTCAGGAACCTCTCTCTGCCCCAGTCTGCTTTCCGGAGCTCAGAATCCAGCCAGGAATCCAAGTGAGGAACAGTACCTGATTTAGTACTGCTGACTGGTGGCCGTGGACGGGAGTGCTGACGTTTCTCATCTAATAGATGTCGGACATCTGCAAATTTCTCAGGTGGTAATTTGTTACCAATTCGGTTTTTGATATTGCTTGAAGATACACTATCTGCCCTCATGGAGTTCCTTTAAAAAGGGGGTAGGATGGGGCACAGTTAACCAACTTCAACTGTGAGACAAGACCCAAACAACAATCTCATACTTTGGAGGAAACAATTTAAGAAATCCTGTCTTACATGGCCAACATTCACTTACAAATCCATAAACTTATAATTATTTGCTTATGGAAACCATGATCTGCCTGCTCTAAAGAGACTGGTTCTGGTGAGCAGGTTTTCGAAGGTGGTTTCCACATGTGTATGTGCTATTACACAGCATACAACTACAAGTCCCCCTTTTCTGGGACAAACGTTAAGTAGAGGCCTACAAAGAGATTGGGGCTTCCACTTACACATGCTGTGATGTGGCTGTAGTCAACACACAGTATAGTCTACAGTCTCTCTCTTTAAAGGGCAGACTTCTCTTTCAAAGAGATATGCTATCATGCTAGGTGCCAGCACCGTTCCGGCAGCATTCTCTACCAGAAAGCTCTCTGAAAACCAAAAATAAGAATGTGAACAGGCTCATGCCTGTAATCCCAGCACTTTGGGAAGCTGAGGCGGGCGGATCACGAGGTCAGGAGATCGAGACCATCCTGGCTAACATGGTGAAACCCAGTCTCTACTAAAAATACAAAAAATTAGCTGGGCGTGGTGGCCTGTACTCCCAGCTCCCCGGGAGGCTGAGGCAGGAAAATGCTGTGAACCCAGAAGGCGGAGCTTGCAGTGAGCCGAGATCGTGTTATCGCTCCACTGCACTCCAGGCTGGGCGACAGAGCGAGACTCCGTCTCAAAAAAAAAAAGAACGTGGTGAACAAGGCCATACAAACAAATCAGCTTGAATGGTCTTTTCCCCTCCCCACAAACATACTACGTTACACAGAGCATCCCTAGACTCTAACCCTTAGAACTGTGGATTCTGCCTGCACAGAATCTGCTCACCCCTAGTAGTAATCAAAGACATGCACATTAAAATAACTATTTTTTTTTTGTTCATGAAACTAGCTAGCATTAGAAAGAATGGTAATAGCTAAGGCTGGTGAGCTTGTAGGTAACAGGTGGTAATGTGAGTGATTAAAACCCTTCTGGGATTAAAACCCTTCTGAGCCCGGGCATGGTGGCTCATGCCTGTAATCCCAGCACTTTGGGAGGCTGAGGCAGGTGGATCACGAGGTCAGGAGATTGAGACCATCCTGGCCAACATGCTGAAACCCGTCTCTACTAAAATTACAAAAAATTAGCCAGGAGTAGTGGCAGGCGCCTGTAGTCCCAGCTACTCGGGAGGCTGAGGCAGGAGAATGGCGTGAACCTGGGAGGCGGAGTTTGCAGTGAGCCGAGATCGCGCCACTGCACTCCAGCCTGGGTGACAGAGCGAGACTCCGTCTCAAAAAAAAAATAAAAACACACAAAAAACCCTTCTGGAAAAAAATAAAGCAATACTTACCATCTTTTTAAACACATATTGTTTTGTGTAATAACTGGACTTTGAGGAATTTATTGAGTTAGTGCAATTGTAAGAAAATAGAAACCTAAAGTCCATCAAAAAGGAATTCGTTAAATAAATCATGATACTTTCAAACAACAGACTATATACAGTTGAAAAAAATAATGTCTACAATATATTAAGTGAAAAATGCACAATGCAAAACTATAAATAGCATAACCTCATCTTTATAAAAAGTATACTTTTATACAAATATATCTACAGCTTTTCCCTGTGCCATACACACACACACACACACACACACAAATAGCTGAAAGGTTATTCGCCAAATTGCTAACAGTAGTTATTGTTGAGAAAGAATGGGAATACAGATGATTTTCACTTTCTATGTTGTCTTTTGTTTTTATAACAAGAATCACTGCTTGTATAGAGGAAATACTGGATGCGTTTATTAAACTCCTACAAGGGACTGAAATCAGAATAGATAAAAGATATTATAAAATTAGGAGGAATTAAGAAGTTATACTAGTATTTAAAATCAAATTAAAAGCTAGCTTTGATAAAACAAATTTTTACCTAATATTTTTCAACTGAGATTCCACTTCGTCAGCATACATAGTCATTTTCATGCTTTTCTTTGGTGAAGGCGTGGAAATCATTTTCAGTTCTAGATCATAGTCCATTTCATCTGAGTCTGAGCTGCTGGCACTGGATCGTCTAGACGCGCTCCGCTCCCGGGGCTGCTTGAGAGCCGGGAGCTCCTCGTGGTACTCTACCACCACTCTGTCATCTGCATCCATGTCCTGGTCTTCTTCTTCCTCTTCCTCTTCCTCCTCCTCCTCCTCTTCCTCCTCTTCAATGGGTTCCTCGGGAACATTCACTAGCCCTGAAGAAATTTAACCAGAAAACATTAGGAAAAGCACTAAAATTAACAAGTATGATTTTCTACTCTACATCGGTGACCTTTTTAAAAGGTGGGGTTCCCATCCCTGACATTTTATTGGAGCACTATCTATAATAGTGCCAAATGGACATTACTCTGATACTGCAACAGGAGGATGGCTAGGTAAAGTATGATGCAGCAGCCTAACCAAATACCATAAAGTCATTTAAAATACAACTGACCTTTATTATTCACAGATTTTGTATTTGCAAATTTACCAAATTTATTTGTAACTCCAAAATGAATACGTGCAATGCTTCCATGGTCATTTGCTGGCACGCACAGAGTGGCAAAAAAATCTGAGTCACCAGGCACACACACTCCCAGTGGAGGTCAAACAAAGCAACACTCCACCTTCCTGTTTCATCTCATGCTGTAAACAAGCGTCTGTTTCAGTCCACCGAGTGGCACATTTTTCACACTTCTGTGCCTGCTGCTAGTGATTTCACTGCTTAAAATGGCCCTGAGTGTCGTGCCGAAGTGCTGCCTAGTGTTCCTAGATGCAAGGGGGCTGTGATGTGCCTTGTGGAAAAATACCATATCAGGTAAGGCATTCAGGCATGAGTTATAGGGCTACTGGCTGTGAACTCAATGTTAACGAATCAACAATGTGTCTTAAATAAGGTGTCTTAAAGAGAAACATATGGGCCCAGCGCGGTGGCTCACGCCTGTAATCCCAGCACTTTGGGAGGCCGAGGTGGGCAGATCACGAGGTCAGGAAATCGAGACCATCCTGGCTAACATGCTAATACCCTGTCTCTACTAAAAAATACAACAAAAATTAGCCGGGCATGGTGGTGTGCGCTTGTAGTCCCAGCTACTCGGGAGGCTGAGGTAGGAGAATGGCGTGAACCCGGGAGGCGGAGGTTGCAGTGAGCCGAGATCGCGCCACTGCACTCCAGCCTGGGCAACAGAGCAAGACTCTGTCTCAAAAAAAAAAAAAAGAGAGAAACATATGTAAAACAAGGTTACATATTGATCAACTGACAAAAATGATGTGGCCAGAGGCTATGTACGATTCAGTATTTGCTACTTCAGTGTTCACAGTGACTTTATAGAACATAAGCACCATGAATAATGAAAATGGAAAAATACAATAAACGAAAGAAGTAGAATATAAAGTACATGTTCCCAAGAGTTATACTATTTATTATGAAAACAAATGGGAAAAATGTAAGATGAACTCAGTCATCATACAGGGTACTAGAAATAGGGGCAATTTGCTTTTTAATTTCCTTAATATGGATATAAAAAGTATATGATGAAAATATTTTAAAGTAACTCAAATTGGAAAAGTGTAACTGTGTAACAGTAAAGTATGTGTATTATTATTATTATTTTGAGACAAAGTCTTGCTCTGTCGCCCAGGTTGGAATACAGTGGCACAATCTTGGCTCACTGCAGCCTTGACCTTCCAGGCTCAGGCAATCTCAGCCTCCCAAGTAGCTGGGACCACAGGTATGTGCCATCATGCCTGGTCTGGCTAATTTTTTAATTTTTTGTAACGACAAGGTCTCACTATGTTGCCCAGGCTGGTCTCAAACTCCTGGTTTCAAGTGATCCTCCTGCCTTGGCCTCCCAAAGTGCTGGGATTATAGGTGTGAGCCACTGTTCCCATCCTATGTGTATTATTAACATGTAGATCTCAAATATACAATTTTGTATATACACATTAAATAAAACATCTAGACTTCATCCCTTTCTGTCCCCATTACAATGATAAATGTGTGTATATGTTATTTTGTATGCTGACTTGACTAGTTCTATTAGGCATGTAGAAGATTCCATAGATTAGGCTCAAAACAAGAACAATTCTTTATAAAACATAAATAAAATGGTTCTTTTACAATAAGCACCAAAAAAAGGAGAAAGAAACCCAAGTCATGATATCCCACTCTTCTGAGGCATTCACATGCACAAACCAACAAGCACAAAGCACTCAACACAGCAGCCTATTTTTAATACAGAAAAAGAACAATACAATCAGTTCATCTGATAAAATAATTTCAAAAATTGTTTTTGGCTAGGCGCGGTAGCTCACACCTGTAATCCCAGCACTCTGGGAGGCCAAAGTGGGTGGAACACAAGGTCAGGAGTTCGAGACCAGCCTGGCCAACATGGTGAAACCCCATCTCTACTAAAAATACAAAAGTTAGCTGGGCATGGTGGCGCATGCCTGTAGTCCCAGCTACTCGGGAGGCTAAGGCAGGAGAATTGCTTGAATCCAGGAGGCAGAGTTGCAGTGAGCCGAGATCAAGCAATTGCACTCCAGCCTGAGAGACAGAGCGAGACTCCGTCTTAAAAAAAAAAAAAAAATTGTTTTCATGCAGCTGTTGATATTAATAGTAGAAAAATTAGGATCCTAAGGAAAGTTTTGTTTTAATTTTTCCTATGTCATATTTTGCCTTTTTTGATAGAACAGCTTTTATAAAATCATTTGACCTCTTTGGGCAACTTAAAATTAATTGTGACTTGACTTACTTTCCTATATGTTGGCAGAGGGTGAGGGCAAGGAAGAGAGGATGATAAAGTTTGGAACCTTAAAAGATTGCATTAAGAATAAAAATATGATTTCAGGAGCCAAACATGTGTCTACCCAAGAGCTGAGCAGGCAACTACCAGAATGTCGATGTTTATACGACGTCAAGCCAACGTCATCCCCAATCAGGGCTCTCTTCTTGATCACGTCCCGCTGAATACGACGGGAATGATATCTTCGCTTCCTGCAAGAATGCCAAAATAAGCACACAATCAAAAACTGATAGGAAGGACCTTGAAATCCACTATTTCTTTCTCTTTTCTTTTTTTTTTGTGATGGAGTCTCAATCTCTCTCCCAGGCTGAAGTGCAATGGCACCATCTCAGCTCACTGCAACCTTTGCCTCTTGGGTTCAAGCAATTCTCCTGCCTCAGCCTCCCGAGTAGGTGGGATTACAGGCGCCCACCACCATGCATGGCTAATTTTTGTATTTTTAGTAGAGACGGGGTTTCACCATGTTGGCCAGGCTGGTCTCGAACTCCTGACCTCAGGTGATCTGCTGGCCTCGGCCTCCCAAAGTGCTGGGATTACAGGCGTGAGCCACCATGTCTGGGCTCGCTAATTCATTTCAACTACACGTTGACACAATGTTAGGTACTAACACAGATATTTTAAATGTAACTACAATTCAGCATTCCCCATCATTTACCACATCTAAGAATCTTGAATTCTTCCCTCTTGTTTTCCTTCCAGTTTACACAGGGTTTAGACATTTCACCACGGAATACCAACTGAAGGATTAAGAAAAACTCAAATACTATTGCATTTGAAGGTTTTGGACTCACCATGAATTGCTAAGAATTCCTTTCATGCCTCCATAATTTGGATTCCCATATTTCATGTAATACTGACTTCTTCTGGCTGCTCCAAGTTCCTTTTTGTCATCTAAAAATTAATGACAATAGTTACCTAGGATTTCCTGTGAGTGTAAAGACAATGTTGAATTTTTTTTTTAATGTTTTCCATAGCTGGAATCAGATCAGCGCAATTTGCCAACAAAAAGTAAAAATCCACTACCAACATTCACACTCTGAGTGCCCACTACAGCAATGCAGTGTAGAGGGGATAAAGCAAAATACAGAGACGAATGAGGTTAAAACTGCTGTTTGGAGCCAGATGACTTAATGGAGAAAACAAAAATAAACAATACAAGATACAAGGTTCCAAAAGGCATAAAAGAGCTTTAGGTCATTACAGGTACCCAGGAATCAAAAAGACTTTCTCAAAATAGTGGCATTTTTGCCACCCCATGAAAGATGATATTCACTTCTGAAGGATCACATGCCAACAACACAGCATCAGGATTAAGGAAACAGACTACATATAATTCCATATATTTGGTAAATCATTTTTCCAGTTTATTGTGCTCCTCAAAATGGCTTAAAGAAAACAGCATAATACTATACATGTAGAATGTACTCAGCCACTCAAATGAGTAAATGTGGTAAAGATCACATTTGTCAAGTTGAAATGTCAGTTAACAGGAAAGAAAGGTGGTCAGTCATCATAAATTTTTGTCAAAAGTAGTAATACAAAGACCTTCCACAGTTCTTGGACACTCTGACTGTAAAGAACAAACACCACTGTAAATATATCCAGGGCTGTAGGTAAACGTGACAACACAAACCAGTATGTATAGCCCCCAACCCCCGAACCCCTCAAACCATGCCCACCAGCTCCTTGGAGAAATGGCTGATTCCAGATGTGGAGCAGGTAAGATGCAAAATGAGTCTGGAAAAGCAAGATGTTTTGTTGTGCCATAAAGAAAGAAAGTGCTTAAAGAATCATGGAGTATGTCAAAACAGCTTGAAGGGGCTCTACTGGCCAAATCCAAGACAATTTGTAAATTAAAATACTGATATTAGGCTGGGCGCGATGGCTCACGCCTGTAATCCCAGTACTTTGGGAGGCTGAGGCGGGCGGATCACAAGGTCAAGAGATCGAGACCATCCTGGCCAACATGGTGAACCCCATCTCTACTAAAAATACAAAAATTAGCTGGGCATGGTGGCATGCACCTGTAGTCCCAGCTACTAGGGAAGCTGAGACAGGAGAATTGCTTGAACCCAGGAGGCAGAGGTTGCAGGGAGGCAGAGGTTGCAGGGAGGCAGCGGTTGCAGTGAGCCAAGATCGCGCCACTGCACTCCAGCCTGGTGACAGAGCAACACTCCGTCTCAAAACAAACAAAAAAATAAATAAAATTAAATACTGATATCCATGGATGATAACCCACTGAATAAAGAATCCATGATTCTAAACTGATGTAAATAAACAAACAGGTAAAAACAGAAGGCTCTTCCTTAGAGCACCTGTCTACTGGTAAAGAAATGACATAGTCAGAAAGGCATGAAGCTCTGATGAGCAAGAGGCTATTTACGTGATCTCAAAGTATCTGCCCACCAATTTTTTATTTTAATCATTTTTTTATTTTTTAAAATAGGGATGAGGTCTTGCTATGTTGCCTAGCCTGGTCTCGAACTCCTGGGCTCAAGTGATCCTTCTGCCTCAGCATCCCAAAGTGTTGCAATTACAGGCACGAGCCACTGTAACCAGCCAGCCCACCAATTTTTAAATTACAAATGGAAGAATAGCAACTTTACAGTGGAAAAACCTAGTGATGATTACCTTAACCAAGTGAATAAAGTGAACGTCCCTAGGACTGGGACGAGTAAGTATCCAGGGCCTCCTGACATGATGCTCTGGAAATGACATGACATCGCTTCTGTGGCACGCCTGTCTCAAATGCACAACCCAAATTCAATCAGGAGGAATCATCAGACAAACCCAAACTGAGGGACATTGTATAAAATAGTAAACCTATATTCTTGGAAAACATGGGAGGATAGAAGTAGTTTCAGCTTAAGGGGGACTAAGGAAACATTACATACTTACACACTCAGTCCTGGATGGATCCTAGACCTGGGGCTGGGCGGGGAATATATAAAGGACATTATTGGAACAACTGACAAAATTTGAAAATCGACTACGGATTAGGTAACAGTACTGTATTAATGTTAAATTTCTTGATTTTGTTAAGTGTGCTATGTATAAAACAATGTTCTTATTCTTTGGAATACATTTAGGGGTGATGGGTTTTTATCTTCAACTAACTCTCAAATGATTAAAAAAACCAATATGTGTATATGTGTATAATACATATACATACATACATACATACACACACACATACACACACACATACACATACACACACATATACATACACACACATACATATATACACATACACATACATACATATACATACATACACATG